>NC_000017.11:1248686-1400201 GCF_000001405.40 Homo sapiens
CTTGGGAGGCTGAGGTGAGAGGATCGCTTGAGCCTAGGAGGCAAAGGTTGCAGTGAGCCAAGATCACCTTGCTGTCCTCCAACCTGGGTGACAGAGTGAGACCTCATCTAAAAAAAAAAAAAATTAGGCTAGCCGGGCATGGTGGCTCACACCTGTAATCCCGGCTTTGGGAGGCCAAGGCGGGCAGATCACAAGATCAGGAGTTCAAGACCAGCCTGGCCAATATGGTAAAACCCCGTCTCTACTAATAATACAAAAATTAGCCAAGTGTGGTGGCACAGACTTGTAGTCTCAACTACTCAGGAGGCTGAGGCAGGAGAATCACTTGAACCTAGGAGGCAGAGGTTGCGGTGAGCCAAGATCTCGCCACTGCACTCCAGCCTGGGCGACACAGCGAGAGCGAGACTCCATCTCAAAAAAAAATTAGACCGGGCATGGTGACTCACACCTGTAATCCCAGCACTTTGAGAGGCTGAGGTGGGCAGATCACCTGAAGTCAGGAGTTCAAGACCAGCCTGGCCAACATGGTGAAACCCCATCTCTACTAAAAATACAAACATTAACAGGGTATGGTGGCGGGCGCCTGTAATCCCAGCTACATGGGAGGCTGAGGCAGAAGAATCACTTGAACCCAGGAGGTGGAGGTTGCAGTGAGCCGAGATCGTGCCACGGCACTCCAGCCTGGACAACAGAGCGAGACTCAGTCTCAAAAAAATAATAAAATAAAATAATAAATAAATAAATATGCTATATTCCGTTTACTAATATTGAATGTGTACTTTTTGCATTAATGTTAATGCCTGAGATATTTCTACATTTATATTTTTAGGGGAATCTTTCCTGGGTTTGGTACCAGTCTTGTGCTCATCCTTTTAAAAGATTTTGGAAGTTTTTCTTCTTTTCCTATAGTTTGGAACAATTTAAATAGCCCTGGTATTATCTTCTCTTGAAAGGTTTGGTAGAATTCCCATCTTTTTTTGTGTGTGTGTTTGAGACTGTATTTTGCATTGTCGCCCACACTGGAGTACAGTGGCGTGATCTCCGCTCGCTGCAAGCTCCGCCTCCTGGATTTAAGCGATTCTCCTGCCTCAGCCTCCCAAGTGGCTGGGACTACAGGTGCCCGCCACCACGCCTGGCTAATTTTTGTATTTTTAGTAGAGACGGGGTTTTACCGTATTAGCCAGGATGGTCTCGATCTCCTGACTTCGTGATCTACCTGCCTCGGCCTCCCAAAGTGCTGGGATTACAGGCGTGAGCCCCCGCGCCCGGCCCCTAGTGCAGTGGTTTTAATTGTGTTCATGGGGACCCTTGCTGGGGACTGTGGAGGGAAGATCATGGGGACCCTTGCTGGGGACTGTGGAGGGAAGATCATGGGGACCCTTGCTGGGGGCTGTGGAGGGAAGATCATGGGGACCCTTGCTGGGGGCTGTGGAGGGAAGATCATGGGGACCCTTGCTGGGGGCTGTGGAGGGAAGATCATGGGGACCCTTGCTGGGGGCTGTGGAGGGAAGATCATGGGGACCCTTGCTGGGGGCTGTGGAGGGAAGATCATGGGGACCCTTGCTGGGGGCTGTGGAGGGAAGATCATGGGGACCCTTGCTGGGTGCTGTGGAGGGAAGATCATGGGGACCCTTGCTGGGGGCTGTGGAGGGGAAGAAAAGTCACGTGAACGACAGACGGAATTCCATTCCCTCCAGTGCACACAGCTGCCGCTGCAGCAATTATGTGCTTAAAAAATAACAAAACATGTAGTTGGAGTAGATTTTCAATAACATGAAATTACAAAAATTAAATTTTTGGTTTTTGTTGTTACTGGAGTAAAAAGCTTTAATGCCTTTTCTTGTATTTATTTCTTGCTCTAGCCTTTTTCAGAGACCAAAATTTGCGTGTGGAATCACTTCCCAAACATGTATTCTGCCATCAGAGATCCAGAGCAATGAATCTAAGTTGCTTCAGGCTATCATGATAACCCTTTCTCTCATCCCCAAAGCTCATCGATAAAATTTGACATTTGCTCATCAGAAAACAATTCCCGATTCTGCGCTTCTTATCTGTGCTGTTCTCCCCCACAGGCAGAGGGTTGTACATCTTTGATTACTCCTAGAGTGGAGTAAATGGGATTGTTAAGCATAAGGATGAAGGCAAGATGGGGAGGCGGAGCATCAGATCCACACTCAGGTTTTGCAAAATCAAAACAAACAAACAATTCCCCAATAACAACAGAAGCCTCTAACTCTTTTTTTTTTTTTTTTTTTAAGACAGGGTCTCGCTCTGTCTCCCAGGCTGGGTGCAGTGGCGCCATCTCGGCTCACTGCAAGCTCCGCCTTCCAGGTTCACCCCATTCTCCTGCCTCCGCCTCCCGAGTAGCTGGGACTACAGGCGTCCGCCACCACGCCGGGCTAATTTTTTGTATATTTAGTAGACACAGAGTTTCACTGTGTTAGCCAGGATGGTCTCGATCTCCTGACCTCGTGATCCAGCTGTCTCGGCCTCCCAAAGTGCTGGGATTACAGGTGTGAGTCACCACGCCTGGCCAGAAGCCCCTAACTCTTTTAGAACAACGTGCTATTTATTAATAGGCTATTTTCTCATCTCCCCTTCTGGGAAAGCTCACTCAGAAAAACCCTTAACACACAACCAGAAAGCCTCTGGTTACAAGTGACCTTTGCAAAGTGTCCTGTTTTCAAAGGAAGGGGCTTCAAAATAAGAGAAGATGGAAGACATCTGAATTGGAACTCACCCCCGCACCCCAACCCTGGGGAAGAGGGTGGGGATCAAGATCACTGCCGGCCAGGCACCATGGCTCACGCCTGTAATCCCAGCACTTTGGGAGGCCGAGACAGGTGGATCACGAGGTCAAGAGTTCGAGACCAGCCTGGCCAACATGTTGAAACCCCATCTCTACTAGAAATACAAAAATTAGCCGGGAGTGGGTGCACGCTGTAGTCCCAGCTACTCGGGAGGCTGAGGCACGAGAATCACTTGAACCCGGGAGGCGGAGGTTGCAGTGAGCTGAGATCTCGCTGTTGCACTCCAGCCTGGGCGACAGAGCAAGACTCAAAAAAAAAAAAGAGAGAGAGAGAATATTAGCCTCTCCTTGTTCCTCCAAAAGGCAGAAACTAAACCCCCAGAGGCAAATCTACCAAGGCTGACCCACTCCCCACCACACTGCCCTGCTCCAACCCCACCGCCCCTCAACCATCCTCCCTACCTTCCAGGGGAATTAGGAACGGAGCAGAACTCCATGGCAGCCAGTCTTGGTTACCCACTGATTTAATCTCTGATTCCCGCCGTGAGGAGAAAGAATATGAATTACTATAAACCCATCTGTTCCCTTTCTTTCTAAAAAGACAAGGACCCGGGGCTGGGTAATAATACTGTTGGCATTACGGGAGGTCTCTAGCTCACTGGTGTCTCCCTCCCCCCTTCCCCCAACAGCGCATAATTTGAAGATTTTCTTTAAAAAAAAAAATGACTTTAACGCCCCCAACTAATGTTTTCCTAACAGTAATAATTATAAATTCCAAACAAAAACTTAGCGGCGTGTGTGTGTGTGTGTGTCTCTTCCAGGCTTTTCATTTCAATAGATCTGCTAATTAAAAGCTATAATTTAACAAATAATGACCTAACCATCTCACTTTGAAATCAAACAAAAACCTACCACTAAAATGTGGGACTAGATACAGATAATGAATCCGGGTGCAATTCACACTCCTGCTGGGCCCAGGCTGGCCCCCTTCCAGCAACGGGCCTACGCCTGTGATTAGCAGAAATAGCTTTTCCAGCCATTTGGAGCAAACAGGGAGGATAAGTGAGCAATTTATGAGTCTAACAGTCGTTTTGGACCCACGCCCACTGCTGAAGGAGCAGGATGGAGCATTTATCCCTCCCCTGCCCTCGTTCATTGACACTTGGTCAATTTCATTTTCTCCCCGGCCCTCTTTGGCCCCTGGGGGAGAGAGTTATTTCTTTTTTTTCTTTTTTTTGAGATGGAGTCTCGCTCTGTCGCCCAGGCTGGAGTGCAGTGGTGCAATCTCCGCTCACTGCAAGCTCCGCCTCCCGGGTTCAAGCCATTCTCCTGCCTCAGCCTCCCGAGTAGCTGGAACTACAGGGGCCCGTCACCACCCCTGGCTAATTTTTTGTATTTTTAGTAGAGACGGGATTTCACCGTGTTAGCCAGGATGGTCTCAATCTCCTGACCTCGTGATCTGCCCACTTTGGCCTCCCAAAGTGCTGGGATTACAGGCGTGAGCCACCGCGCCCGGCCCCTAAAGTTATTTCTTAATAACAAGCCGGAAGGATTTGTGAAAAGGAAAACTAGTAATGAAACCAGGTGAAGATGCCCACTGAATCCAGCATCCTAAATGTTTAATAAAATAATAAACGATGGGCTGGGTGCAGTGGCTCACGCCTGTAATCCCAGCACTTTGGGAGGCTGAGATAGAAGGATCACCTGAGGTTGGGAGTTTGAGACCAGCCTGGCCAACATGGTGAAATGCCGTCTCTACTAAAAATACAAAAATTAGGCTGGCATGTTGGAGGGCGCCTGTAATCCCAGATACTCGGGAGGCTGAGGCAGGAGAATGGCTATTTTTTTTTTTTTTTTTTTTTTTTTGAGATGGAATCTCACTCTGTCGCCCAGGCTGGAGTGCAATGGTGCAATCTCGGCTCACTGCAACCTCCGCCTCCCAGGTTCAAGCGATTCTCCTGCCTCAGCCTCCCGAGTAGCTGGGACTACAGGCGCCCCCCACCAAGCCTGGCTAATTTTTTGAATTTTTAGTAGAGACGGGGTTTCAGCGTGTTGGTCAGACTGGTCTCGAACCCCTGACCTCGTGATCCGCCCGCCTCGGCCTCCCAAAGTGCTGGGATTACAGGCTTGAGCCAGCGCGCCCGGCCGAGAATCGCTTGAACCCGGGAGGCGGAGGTTGCAGTGAGCCGAGATCGTGCCATTGCACTCTAGCCTGGCGACAGAGCAAGACTCTGTCTCAAAAAAAATTTTTTTAATGTAAAAAATAATGCAATGATAAAAAACAATGAAAGCAAGATTGTTTCCCACCTACCACGCCCCTTCCCTGAGCTGGGAATTGGGCACCTGTGCCAGGTTAAACATAGCCCGCTGTTCTGGAACCTTCCCCGCAGCCCCAGCTCACACCAGTCCGCTGAGAGGCTGCCCAGCTGCTGTACAGGAAATGCTCACGCTCCGTGGGAGGAGCCTTCAAACACTCACCCCTTCCTGGAGTCCCGGCGGGACGGGAGAACTGGGGACTCTGCGAAAGCGCTGCGGAGCGTCCAAGAGCTCCCCGTGGAGCTGAGGCAGGAAGACCGCGCACTGGCTGAGACCCCAGGAGCCCAAAGCTGGACCTGGCGCAGGCGCAGGGAGGAAGGCGCTTCTGGGTGTGCAGAGGTCACACGGCCACCCGAGGACCTCAGCCTAATCCTGCCTTGAAATCTTAAATCCCAATGTCCGCCAGGCGCGGTGGCTCACGCCTGTAATCCCAGCACTTTGGGAGGCCGAGACGGGCGGATCACAAGGTCAGGAGTTCGAGACCAGCCTGGCCAACGTGGCAAAACCCCGTCTCTACTAAAAATACAAAAAAAAAAAAAAATAGCCAGGCGTGGTGGCAGGTGCCTGTAATCCCAGCTACTCGGGAGGCTGAGGCAGGAGAATGACGTGAACCCGGGAGGCGGAGCTTGCAGTGAGCCCAGATCGCGGCACTGCACTCCAGCCTGGGCGACAGAGCGGGAGTCCGTCTCAAAATAATAATAATACAAAAAAATTAGCCAGGCGTGTTGGCGGTCGCCTGTAATCCCAGCTACTTGGGAGTCTGAGGCAAGAGAATTGCTTGAGCCCAAGAGGCAGAGGTTGCAGTGAGCCGAGATTGCACCATTGCACTCCAGCCTGGGCAAGAAGAGCGAAACTCCATCTCAAAAATAAAATTAAATACGTAAATAATAAAGCTTTGCTAATCCCATTTAATGATGGTTTTCTTTTTTTTTTTTTTTTTTTTTTTTTTTGAGACGAGTCTTGCTCTGTCGCCCAGGCCAGAGTGCAGTGGCACGATCTCGGCTCACTGCAATCTCCGCCTCCTGAGTCATGCCATTCTCCTGCCTCAGCCTCCCGAGTAGCTGGGACTAAAGGCGCCCGCCACCACGCCCAGCTAATTTTTTGTATTTTTAGTAGAGACGGGATTTCACCATGTTAGCCAGGACGGTCTCGATCTCCTGACCTCGTGATCTGCCCACTTTGGCCTCCCAAAGTGCTGGGATTACAGGCGTGAGCCACCGCACCCAGCCACGACGGTGCGTTTTTCAAAGGCTGCTATTTCATTGATGAACGCATTGACTTACTCAATCCCAAATCTTTAGAGCAAAAGTATCAAATGTCAATTTTTTGTATCAGCAGCCTCTCCAGCAGTGACCTGAGACAGGCTTTCACAGCTGGGCTGCCAAGGATATGTCTATTAATTGATTTTGTAGAATCTGTGTCATCACTAATTGGGGATATTTGCATTTCAAAAGAGGCAGAGTTCAAGTTCAAGCCATTCTTCCTCTCCTTCTTTTGACTAAGAAGGGGCTCTTTAACGACAGAATTCCACCTTGTTTATCTCTGCATCTTCCAAGCACCTCATGGTCCTTATAAAGATTAAGGCGGGGTGGGGGGACGCGTGGTGCGTCACGCCTGTAATCCCAGCACTTTGGGAGGCCAAAGTGAGGGGATTGCTTGAGCCCAGGAGTTCAAGACCAGCCTGGGCAACATGGTGAGCTCTGTCTTTACAAAACACACAAAAATTAGCCAGGCGTGGTGGCAGGCGTCTGCAGTCCCAACTACTCATGAGGCTGAGGCGGGAGGGCTGCTTTGAGCCAGGAGGCAGAGGTGACAGCCGTGATCACACCATTGCACTCTAGCCTGGGCAGCAGAGTCAGATCCTGTCTCAAAAAGAAAGAAAAAGCGCTAACACGGTGAAATCCCATCTCTACTAAAAACACAAAAATTAGCTGGGTATGGTGGCGGGTACCTGTAATCCCAGCTACTCAGGGGGCTGAGGCGGGAGAATCGCTTGAACCTGGGAGGCAGAGGTTGCATTGAGCCAAGATGGCTCCACTGCACTCCAGCCTGGGTTTGGGCGACAGAGCAAGACTCCACCTCCAAAAAAAAAGAAACAAAGAAAGAAAAAAAAAGATCAAGCCTTACAATCAAGATATACACATTAAATGGACTCTGACCATCCGTATTCCTTCAGACTCCTCACATTGCAAACAACGGCTTAAGTAACAGGTCAATACACTGCTTCAATAATAAAGAGGGTATTTTGGCCCATGTAACTGAAGAGTTTTGGGATAGATCTTTAGGCGTGGTGAGATCTAGCGTTCAAACAATGTAACCAAGAGCCTGGTTTTTCTCTTAACACATTTCCCGGCTCTCTTTTCTTGTTGCAAATAGCTCCATTCTCCAACCTGCTCCCGTCTTCACGGTTGCTCGATGGACAGTCATTTCCCAGAGCTAGAGCCATGCTCATGTATGTCCAGCAGGTGTGAGTCTATTCAGTCAATTTCCACACAAGCAGGAGGTATTTCATTCCTGGCAGCTCCAGCAAAATTCTCTGGGTATCTTACTGGCTCTGACTGGCAACTGCCTGTCCCTGAACCATGTGCTGTGGCCAAGAGGGGAGTCTCCGACAGGCATAAGCCAATCCCATTCGAAGTGCTGAGGACAAAGGAATGGAGATGCTCCAACAGAAAAGGGAGTTGTTTTTTTTTTTTTTTTTTTTTTTTTTGGACAGGGTCTCACTCTGTCGCCCAGGCTGGAGTGCAATGGCACGATCTCAGCTCACTGCAAGCTCCGCCTCCCGGGTTCAAGCGATTCTCCTGCCTCAGCCTCCTGAGTAGCTGGGGCTACAGGTGCCCACCACCATGCCCGGCTACTTTTTGTATTTTTAGTAGATATGGGGTTTCACCATGTTGGTCAGGCTGGTCTTGAACTCCTGACCTCAGGTGATCCACCCGCCTCAGCCTCCCAAAATTGCTGGGATTACAGGCGTGAGCCACCGCACCCGGCCAAGAGAGATCACTTTAGTGAGAGAACGGAGGGTGGACGCCAGGAAAACAAGCAGAAATGGAAACCACACCGGCCAGCTCCTGGCGGGTGGAGGTGCTGGGTGGGAGCAGTTTCCTTCCTGGCTTCTTTCTCCGGCGCTCACTGCAGCAGCTTCAAGGGTGAGAGTTGGAGGCCACAGAGCCGGGGCCCATCCGGCTGTATGTGTGCGGGTGGGGGTCGGGGGACAAAGGCTGACGCCCCATGCTCACCAGTCCACCCCTCGCCAAGCTTCCCCGGCTGCCCAGCACTTCCTTCTTCCTTTCCCTCACCTGCCAGACTCCTATCTCTGAGGCAGTTCTGATCTCTTTGATCATGTTCACCTGCCTCAATTTCATGCACATGAGGGAAATTTTTCTGACTCCTTGTAGGCCTGAAACCCCTTTTTTAATTCTACTTTTTTTTTTTTTTTTTTTGATGGAGTCTTGCTCTGTCATCCAGGCTGGAGTGCAGTGGCACGATCTTGGCTCACTGCAACCTCCACCTCCCAGGTTCAAGCAATTCTCCTGCCTCAGCCTCCCAAGTAGCTGGGATTACAGGAATGCACCACCGAACCCGGCGAATTTTGTATTTTTAGCAGAGACGGGTTTTTGCCATGTTGGTCAGGCTGGTCTTGAACTCCTGACCTCAGGTGATCCACCCGCCTCGGCCTCCCAAAGTGCTGGGATTACAGGCATGAGCCACCGCGTGCGGCCTATTTCTACTTTTTAGAGACTGGGTCTCGCTTTGTCGCCCAGGCTAGAGTGCAGTGACGTGATCTTTGCTTACTGCAGCCTCAAACTCCTGGGCTCAAGGGATCCTCCCACCTCAACCTCCTGAGTAGCTGGGACTACAGATGCATACCACCACCCCCAGCTAATTTTTTAATTTTTCGTAGAGACAGGGTTTCTTAATAATAATGATATGACAATATTGATTCGTTAATTGTAATAAATGTACTACAGTAATGTGATATGTTAATAACAAGGAAATGGGTTCAGGATACATGGGGGACTCTTGGTATTCGCTTCTCAGTTTTTCTGTACATCTTTTTTTTTTCTTTCTTTCTCTTTTGAGGCAAAGTTTCACTCTTGTCCCCCAGGCTGGATTGCAATGACACAGTCTCCACTGACTGCAACCTCCACCTCCTGGATTTATGCGATTCTCCTGCCTCAGCCTCCCAAGTAGCTGGGATTACAGGTGTGTGCCACCACATCTGGCTACTTTTTGTATTTTTAGTAAAGACGGGGTTTCACCATGTTCGCCAGGCTGGTTTCAAACTCCTGACCTCCAGTGATCCACCCACCTCAGGCTCCCAAAGTGCTGAGATTACAGGCAGGAGCCACTCGCTCGGCCTAGTTTTTCTGTACATCTAAAATCATTCTAAAAAATAACGTTCATTAAAGCACAAAAAATGGGTGGCCGGTCGCGGCGACTCACGTCTGTAATCCCAGCACTTTGGGAGGCGGAGGTGGGTGGATCACGAGGTCAGAAGTTCGAGACCAACTTGGCCAACATGGTGAAATCCCATCTCTACTGAAAATACAAAAAATTAGCCGGGCTTGGTGGCGCATGCCTGCAATCCCAGCTGCTCGGGAGGCTGAGGTGGAAGGATTGCTTGAGCCCAGGAGGTCGAGGCTGCAGTGAGCTGTGATTATGCTACTGCCTCCCAGCCTCAGTGACAGAATAAGACCCTGTCTCAAAAAGCAAAAACAAAAAACAAAAAAACACCCCCCAAAAACCCATGAAAGATCAAAAAGCAACTGGAGAGAGGGAATAATAGCTAGCGGCTCAAAGTGTACCTTCTGTGAGGGTGGGAGTGGAGATGCTTCCCCCACCGCCCCAGCAGCAGGGTTATCTTCAGACAGCAGGACGTGCAAATGGGTGCAGACAGATCTCTTTGTGGGCCCAGGCAGGAAGCTGAGGGTTCGCATCTGATGGTATCAATTTTTCCTCTGAGACAGGAGAGGTGGGCTACGTGCAATGAAACTGCGGGTTGTACATGATGAAGACCTGAAGGTCCTCCAAGAGAAGTGCAGGAAGAACCTGACCAGCGCAAAAGAGCAGCTTCCTCTCCCAGCACAGATGACAAGACATAAAACTTCAGCTTTTGCAGGGGCAGCCCCAGGTGGACAGCACCAAGCAGCAGGGCCTTAGCCCAACAAGAGGCCTGAACTGAGCGCTTCATGGGGTTCAACTTTTTTCTTTTTTTTTTGAGACGATGGAGTCTTGCTCTGTCGCCCAGGCTGGAGTGCAGTGACGTGATCTGGGCTCACTGCAACCTCCACCTCCCAGGTTCAAGCGATTCTCCTGGCTCAGCCTCCCAAGTGGCTGGGATTACAGGCGCCCGCCACCACGCCCGGCTAATTTTTGTATTTTGGTAGCGACGGGATTTCGCCATGTTGGCCAGGCTGGTCTCGAACTCCTGACCTCAAGAGATCCGCCCGCCCAGGCCTCCCAAAGTGCTGGGATTACAGGTGTGAGCCACCGCGCCCGGCCTGGAGTTCCACTTTCTGACCAGAAGAGGGCGCCGGGGTTCCACTTTTGTTCTTCACGCCCCACGTTTCTCTTTCCAAAGTTGCTAAGGTTTGGAGTCTAGGAATAAAAAGTTCCCTTCTGAGTCCGCCACAATGATGGCGGGAGGCGGTGGGAGGGTGGGCGATGGTTTTGTTCCTTTGCTCGTTCACCCCGGTGGGGAGCCGGGGAGCCAGGGAGCAGAGTGTGGGAACTGGGTGGAGATGTCTGCGGAACGGTCACCCGGACACGGGAACACGGCTCTGAACGTCGGGAGAGAAGCTGCAGCTGAAAGGAGACATTTGACCTTTAAGGGATTGTCGGAAGAAGAGGAGCCGATCAAAAGGGACAGAAAAGGAGTGAGTGGGGAGAGATGCCAAAGAGAGGAGCCCAGTTCCCGCCGGGCACGCGGTTCAGCCTGTAGTCCCGGCGCTTTGCCAAGCGAGGCGGGCGGAGTTCGAGACCTGCCTGGCCCACAAAATGAGACCCACCCCACCCCCATCTCTACAAAAATAAAATACAAAAATAAATTAGCCCGGCGTGGTGACGGGCGCCTGCAGTCCCAGCTGCTCGGGGGAGGCTGAGGCAGGAGAACGGCGTGAACCCGGGAGGCGGCGCTTGCAGTGAGCCGAGATCGCGCCGCTGCACTCCAGCCTGGAGACCGAGCGAGACTCCGCCTCAAAAAAAAAAAATTAAATAAATAAAGTAATTGAGAACGGAAGCTTTGCAGTCAGGGGAAACTTACTGAGACTCAGTTTTCTCATCTGAAAACGGGGCGACGGATAACAAGGACCGTGAAGAATCCCCCAACGCGGGCGCCCCAGCTCAGAGCCCGACCCTGGGAGGCTGGAGCCGAGGGAAGCGCCAGGAGCGGGGTCCGCAGCCTCGGCCCCTCCCGCGACCCCCACTTGCGGCGGGATTCAGGCGGCGGCGACCCCCGAGTCCCTCCCCTGGGGCGCCTCCCGACGCGTCCCGGCCCCGGTCTTAGCTCATAAATCTCCTTCACACAGAGGCCCATAAATCAGGGGCGGTGGAGGGACCCCCCAGCTCCCCGCCCCCGCCCCACTCCTGGAGAGGCGGGGGGGGGGCGCAGGAAGCCCCTGGGATGGGGACCGCGGCTTGTTAATTACAGGTCGCGGGGCCTGATTTATGGGGGGGGCGGGCCGCATGCTGCGCGGGGGCTGGGCATGTCTGGGGGAGCCCGGACGGGTTCCAGGAGGCCTGAGGGGCTCCCAAGTTCTCAGGGCCTTGTTGAAATGACAGTCTGGAGCGTGATCAACCGTAACATGTTCCTATGTAAATAAAATATAAACGTAATAATACGCATGGCTAAGGCAATGGAGAGACTGTGTGCCCAGCTGTGCTAAACGCTGTATCAACTCTCCAAATAGTTACTGAATGCCTATTGGGTGCCAGGAATCTTGTGTGTATATATATTCTCTCCCGAACCTCCCCAGGCAGCTCTGAAAGTTAGTCCTTACGGTTCCCATTTTGCAGATGGAGAAATGAAAAGAGAAGTGATCGACTTGCCCAAGTTCCCTTGATTAATAAGTAGTGGGTTCAGGAATCATACACCTCGTCTCTGTCCTCCAAGCTTAACCTGCTTGGACTAGGTTATCCTACCACCTGCTTCGCTGTCTTCCTGCTCCACCCATGAGCTGTGTGACGTTGAGCAAGCGTCTTAGCCTCTCTGAGCCTCAGTTCTCCTCACTGATAAAAGAGCATTCTGCCCTATCTACCTCACAAGGAGTTAGGAGGATCCAATTTAAAGGGAGTTTATGAAAGTGCTTTAAAAATTCTCTCTAAAGTTCTATATGAGGCTGGGTGAGGTGGCTCACGCCTGTAGTCCCAGCACTTTGGGAGGCTGAGGCAGGCAGATCACTTGAGGTCAGGAGTTTGAGACCAGCCTGGGCAACATGGTGAAAACCCATCTCTACCAAAAATACAAAAATTAGCTGGGCATGGTGGCATACGCCTGTAGTCCCAGCTACTTGGGAGGCTGAGGCAGGAGAATCGCTTGAACCGGGGAGGTGGAGGTTGCAGTGACCGAGATCACGCCATTACAATCCAGCCTGGGGGAAAAAAAATTCTGTATGAAAGAGTATTAGGCCGGGCGCAGTGGCTCATGCCTATAATCCCAGCACTTTGGGAGGCCGAGGTGGGAGGATCACGAGGTCAGGAGTTCGAGACCAGCTTGACCAACATGGTGAAACCCTGTCCCTCCTAAAAATACAAAAATGAGCCAGGTGTGGTAGCGTATGACTGTAATCCCAGTTACTCAGGAAGCTGAGGCAGGAGAATCACTTGAACCCGGGAGGCGGAGGTTGCAGTGAACCGGGATCTCGACACTGCACTCCAGCCTGGGCCACAGAGCAAGACGCCGACTCAAAAAAAAAAAAAAAAAAAAAAGAAAGAGTATTAGTTTAAGGTGACTTTAGGTACTGTAATGGATAAATCCCCAAATCTCAGTGGCTTAAACATGAAGATTTATTTCCTGCTCATGGAATCATTCATGTGGTGTCTCTGGTCAGGTGGTATTCCTGGGCAGCAATCCCCCAGCCATGATTGAGGGCCCCAGACTTCTTCCTCTTGTACCTCTGCCGTCTTCAGCTTGTGGCCCCCATGGCTGGCCTAGGGGACCTGAGGCCAAGAGGACCGGGCATGGAGGCTGCAGAGGTTCGGGTGGGAAGTTCGTATGGGTGGGCCTGCAGGTGGCACGCATCAGTCCTGCTCACAGTTACCAGAGAACTCAGTCGACTGCAGGAAAGCCTGAACTGCTGCATTCATTACGTCTTGTGAAGAACAGGTGACCTCAAAACCGACTGCTTTAAGACAACCATAAACATGTGTTAGTTCAGTGTCTGTGAGTCAGGGTTTTAGGAGCGACCTTCCTGGGTGGTTCCCTTCTCCTCTTGTTCATGATGGAGGATGCACGTGAGTCCCAGAGCTCCTGCAGCCCTTTTGCCACTATGAGGGAAGCCACCTTGAGAAAGAAAATATGGGTCAGGCACGGTGGCTCACGCCTGTAATCCCAGCACTTTGGGAGGCCGAGGTGGGTGGATCACAAGGTCGGGAGTTCGAGACCAGCCTGGCCAACGTGGTAAAACCCCGTGTCTACTAAAAATACAAAAATTAGCCGGGTGTGGTGGCACATGCCTGTAATCCCAGCTACTTGGGAGGCTGAGGCAGGATAATTGCTTGAACCTGGGAGGCAGAAATTGCAGTGAGCTGAGATCTTGCCACCGCACTCCAGCCTGGGCGACAGCGAGACTCCGTCTCAGGGGGAAAAAAAAAAAGCAAGCAAGAAAATACGGAAAAAGGCCGGGTGCAGTGGCTCAAGCCTGTAATCCCAGCACTTTGGGAGGCCGAGGCGGGCAGATCACAAGGTCTGGAGATTGAGACCATCATGGCTAACATGGTGAAACCCCGTCTCTACTAAAAATATTTTTAAAAATTAGGCGGGGGTGGTGGCGGGCACCTGTAGTCCCAGCTACTCGGGAGGCTGAGGCAGGAGAATGTCGTGAACCCGGAAGGCGGAGCTTGCAGTGAGCTGAGATCGCGCCACTGCACTCCAGCCTGGGGGACAGAGCGAGACTCCGTCTCATAAAAAAAAAAAAAAAGAAAAGAAAATACGGAGAAGAGGTATGAAAGAATCACAGAAGAAGAGTTATAGACCAGGCGAAAGGATAATCAAATTCCTGTGGAAGTGTAAAGGGCCAAGAACACCCAACAGAATTCTGAAAATGAAAAACGAGACTGCAAGATTGCCCAGGCAGACAGGCATTACCCAGAAATGGTTGGAGGTGGCTTGGTAGATATGTGGCATTACACATCACTGGAGGCAGGGTGAACAGGTCACCAAAGGGAGCCGGAAAGATTGGTAACTGGGTTCCAAGGATGACAATAATAATTAAAGCAATAATAATAGCAGCAATAGGAATGTAGTAATGGATGCCATTTATTGACACCTACACAGTGTTAGAAATATACTTTTTTTTTTTTTTTTGAGGCAGGGTCTCGCTGTGACCCAGGCTGGAATGCAGTGGCTCAATCATGGCTCACTGAAGCCTCGACTTCTCGGGCTCTAGCTGGGATCACAGGCACGCACCACCATGCCCAGCTAATTTTTTTTTTTTTTTAGAGACGGGGTCTTGCTATGTTGCCCAGGCTGGTCTGAAACTCCTGGCCTGAAGCAATCCTCCTGCCTTGGCCTCCCAAAGTGCTGGGATGACAGGCAGGAGCCACCGCACCCAACCAGAAGTCTACTGTTGGTTTCTCTCGCTGTTTCCTCACACCAAATCCACAAGGGAAGTATTATCTTTTTTCGTTTTTGGTGTTTTTTTTTGAGATGGAGTCTCTGTCACTCAGGCTGGAGTGCAGTGGTGAGATTTCGGCTCACTGCAACCTCTGCCTCCCAGGTTCAAGCAGGTAATGCCTGTCTGCCTCAGTCTCCCAAGTTGCTGGGATTACAGGTGCACGCCACCAGGCCCGGCTAATTTTTGTATTTTTAGTAGAGACGAGGTTTCACCTTGTTGGCCAGCCTGGTCTTGAACTCCTGACTTCAGGTGATCTGCCCTCCTCAGCCTCCCAAAGTGCTGGGATTACAGGCGTGAGCCACCGCGCCCGGCTAATTTTTGTATTTTTAGTAGAGACGGGGTTTCACCATGTTGGCCTGACTGGTCTTGAACTCCTGACTTCAGGTGATCTGCCCTCCTCGGCCTCCCGAAGTGCTGGGATTACAGGCGTGAGCCACCGTGCCCGGCCTATAATTCTTCTCAAACAGATGAGAAAGCCCAACCTCAGGAGGGTAGCAAAGATCTCTTGAGCCCACACATGGCTCTCAGCCTCCTGGGCAGCAGGTAGGAACCCTGTTTTTCCTCCCAATAACAGAGCTCTTTCCTGAGAGTTCCTGGCCTTCAGCAGCCCTGGGCCCGGGAGGCAGAGCTCGCTGTCCACACCAAGCCAGCACCCACCTACCCACCACCACCCGCCCTCCCCACACCGCCCTGGACCTGGAATTCCTACTCCACACTGACTCTGGGACGGAGCTAAGCCTGATTAGACCCCAGCTAAAAGCACAGAGGCCTCTTTGTCATTTCTTTAACGAGAAGCCAATCGCCAGGTCATTAGTGGGTGGAGGTGATGAGCAGTTTGGTACTGGGGTGGGAGGGAGGAGAATGCTCTTGTTTATCTGGATGATTTACAGCTGCAGTGGCCAAGCTGGCTGGGGAAAGGAGCAGAGGGTAGGAAGAAGAGAAAGTTAATATTCACAGAGTTCCTTCTAGGAGCCAGGCCCTGTACTGACAGCGTAAAAACACGGTCTTTCATTTAATCCTACAACAAACCTGACAAAGCAGTACCACTGCATACCTCATTTTACAGACAAGGAAACAGAGGCTCAAACAAGTGAAGCATCAGCCAGGCGCGGTGGCTCACGCCTGTAATCCCAGCACTTTGGGAGGCCGAGGCAGGCGGATCACCTGATGAAGCAGTACCATTGCATACCTCATTTTACAGACAAGGAAACGGAGGCTCAAACAAGTGAAGCATCAGCCAGGTGCGGTGGCTCACGCCTGTAATCCCAGCACTTGATGGGAGGCTGAGGCAGGCGGATCACCTGAGGTCAGGAGTTTGAGACCAGCCTGCCCAACATGGTGAAACCCCCTCTCTACTAAAACTACAAAAATTAGCCAGGCATAGTGGCAAGCACCTATAATCCCAGCTACTTGGGAGGCTGAGGCGGGAGAATCGCTTGAACCTGAAAGGTCGTGGTTGCAGTGAGCCAAGATCATGCCACCGCACTCCAGCCTGGGCGACAGAGCAAGACTCCGCCTCAAAAAAAAAAAAAAAAAGAAAAGAAGTGAAGCATCTTGGCCCAGGCTACGCAGCTCATAAATGATAATCTTATTCCAGAGCCTACACAACACCCTGCTGTTCAGTGTTACAGGCAGGGCTGGGGTGAGTGCAGGTGAAGGACCAAGCAATATTCCAGATTAGAGCAAGAAAGAACAAGTTGTCGGCAGGTGCTGGATGGAGGGACGCTGCTCTGTGGGCTGGGAGTGGCAGCAGTGGAGAGGACCAAATGTGTGCATGAGCTTGTTGGAAAGAAACCCTGGGGTACTGAGTATATTCTCCAGAAAAAGGATAATAATAACAGTAACTAATTATTAACTTTTTTCTTTTTTGAGATGGAGTCTTGCTCTGTCACCCAGGCTGGACTGCAGTGGTGTAATCTCGGCTCACTGTGACCTCCGCCTCCCCAGTTCAAGAGATTCTCCTACCTCAGCCTCCCCAGCAGCTGACACTATAGGTGCCCGCCACCACACCCGGCTAATTTTTATATTTTTAGTAGAGACGGGATTTCACCATATTGGTCAGGCTGGTCTCGAACTCCTGACCTCAGGTGATCTGCCCGCCTCAGCCTCCCACGGTGCTATTACAGGCATGAGCCACCGCACCCAGCCAATAATAACTTTTTTTTTTTTTTTTTTGAGACGGAGTCTTGCTCTGTCGCCCAGGCTGGAATGCAGTGGCGCGATCTTGGCTCACTGCAAGCTCCGCCTCCTGGGTTCATGCCATTCTCCTGCCTCAGCCTCCCAAGTAGCTGGGACTACAGACGCCTGCCACAATGCCCGGCTAATTTTTTGTATGTTCAGTAAAGACGGGGTTTCACCACGTTAGCCAGGATGGTCTCGATCTCCTGACCTCAGGTGATCTGCCCGCCTCGGCCTCCCACAGTGCTGGGATTACAGGCGTGAGCCACCGCGCCCAGCTGATCATAACTAATTATTAAGTGCCCACAATGTGCCAGGTACCGTGCTAAGGGCTTTCTGTGCATGGTGTCATTTAATGCTCACAGCTCTCTTATGTGGCAGTTACCAATTCATTTTACAGATGAAGAAACAGAGTGAGGGTCAGAGAGGTTAAGTCACCTGCTGCACCTCTTGAAGTTGGGATTGGCTTGGGAGTCAGCGAGGTTGACCAGGATGACTGCTTATCTCTACGCTGTGTTGTCAGGATTCTTGGTTGGAAACAACCAAATCCAACTTGAGCAGAAGGAAGAGGCAGGTATTGGCTCTGAGGTAGCTCACAAAATCAACGGAAAAAAAGTCTAGGGCACAGTCACTCACGCCTGTAATCCCAGCACTTTGGGAGGCCGAGGCAGGCCAATCGCTTGAGGTCAGGAGTTCAAGACCAGCCTGGCCAACATGGTGAAACCCTGTCTCTAATAAAAATACAAAAAATTAGCCGGGCGTAGTGGCGGGCGCCTGTAATCCCAGCTACTCAGGAGGCTGAGGCAGGAGAATTGCTTGCCCAGGGACACGGACGTTGCAGTGGGCCGAGATCGCGCCACTGCACTGCGGCCTGCACAACAGAGTGAGACTCCGTCTCAAAAAGAAAAAAGAAAAGAGTCTGGGAAATTAAGGTTGGGAAACTCGTAAGAATTATAGGAAACTGGGCAGCTAGACCCACGGCCAAGCCAGGAACCTCCTCTAGATGCCAGTGTAGGACGTGGAGGGCCACAGGCCCCGCACTGGCACCGTGATTTCTCCACTGTTACCTGTTTGTTTCTTTGGGACACCACTCCAGATTCAAGTCAGGCAGCCAAGTGCCTGGACTCGCATCTGTCCCAGTTACCAGAAATCTCTGCCACCCAGAGCCCCACCATGGAGGCTCCCTTCTCCCCAGATAGGAAGGCTGTTCAAATGCCACATAGCAAACAGTGATAACAAAAACATCCACCACGGCACACGCCTGTAGTCCCAGCTACTCAGGAGGCTGAGGCAGGAGAATCGCTTAAACCCGGGAGGTGGAGGTTGCAGTGAGCCGAGATTTCGCCACTGCACTCCAGCCTGGGAGACAGAACGAGACTCCACCTCAAAAAAAAAAAAAAAATAACCGAAGTCGTGGGTGCCCTGGGTCTGAGGTGACCATATGCCACTGGCTTTCTTGTCCCCATGTCCATGGCTGGACCTTTGTAGAGAGAGTCTCTGAACTAAGGCTTCTGCTCTTAAAGGAGAATATGGAGACGACACCCCTTTTTGTCATCTGCTTTATCCCATTGGCACCCCCACATGTCAATTCTATTTTCCAAACAGGTGTTGACTCCGTGCCCTTCTCTCACCACTGCCTGCATAGCTCAGGCCCCCCCTTCCTCCAGGATCCTTGCTTCCTAAGTGGAATTTGTCTTAACATCCATTCTCCACACTGCTCAAAGAGCTCTAGCTGTAATTCAAATACGGCTGACATTCCTCTGCTTAATAACCTTTTGCAGTACCCAGCTGCCTACAGGGCGAAAAGCAAGCTTTTGGGACGACGCCTGGTGATCTCCAGCCTTATCTCCCGTCACTCCCTGGCCTCACATTTGGTGGTTTGGCAAAGTCACTTTCCTGTATTTTTCGCATCATCCTGTGACCGCTTACACTTCCAGGGCCTGGCACCTGCTGTTCCCTCTACCTCCTGTCTGCTTGGCAAACTGCTATTCATCCTTTGAAATCCAGTTCAGGGCCGGGAGCGGTGGCTCACGTCTGTAATCCCAGCACTTTGGGTGGCCGAGGCGGGCGGATCACTTAAGGCCGGGAGTTCGAGACCATCCTGGCCAACATGGTGAAACCCCGTCTCTGGTAAAAATACAAAAAATAGCTGGGCACGATGGTGGGTGCCTGTAATCCCACGTACTCGGGAGGCTGAGGCAGGAGAATCGCTTGAACCCGAGAGGTGGAGCTTGCAGTGAGCCAAGATTGCGACACTGCGGTCCAGCCTGGGCGACAGAGCGAGACTCGGTCTCAAAAAAAAAAAAGTTTTTGTTGAATGAGCGCATGAAGGGGCAGAGGCTGCAATTGCGCCCCTACGTCTTCCACACCGGGCGTGTGGGTTGAAACGCCAGGGTCTCGCCTGGGAGAGAAGGAGGCTCAGGGCTTCCCGGGACCCGCTCTCCGGAGGGGGTGGGGTCGAGGCCCCCGTGAGCGGCTCCCGGACTTTCTCTCCCGGGCGGGCGTTCCGTCCTCCCTCGGGGAGCGGCGCCGGAACTTCCGGAGGAAGAGCCGGAACTTTTGAAGCCCAGGCCCCGCCCGGCGCTAATAGGCACCTACGCGGCCGCCGGCGGAACCGCCAGACCCTAAATCACGGCGCCCCGCCCGCCCCCGCCCGCCCCCGCCCGGGCCGAGAACTCGCGCTCCCGGGCACGGGCAGGTGCCGCGGAAATGCCGGGCCCGCCGCTCGCTTTGAAGTCGGCCGCGCCCCGCAGCGCCCGGGAGTCCCGGGTTCCAGGAGGGGGCGCCTCTCCCGGGTCCTCGGGGTTCTTCGCGTGGGGCCGTTTCCTGACGTGCGCGGGGAAGGGCGGGAGCGGCCGGGAAACGCCACCGGGAAACGCGCGCTGCGTGGGCATTTTCTTTGCTTTTACTGACCTTTTTTTTTTTTCTGGTTTATTTTTTGTTGTTTTTGAGACGGAGTCTCGCTCTGTCCGCCAGGCTGGAGCGCAGTGGCGGGATCTCGGCTCACTGCAACCTCCGCCTCCCTGGTTCAAGCGATTCTCTGCCTCAGCCTCCCGAGTAGCTGGGACTACAGGCTCCCCGCCACCACGTCCAGCTAATTGTTGTATTTTAGTAGAGACGGGGTTTCACCGTGTTGGCCAGGCTGGTCTTGAACTCCTGACCTCAAGTGATCCGCCCACCTCGGCCTCCCAAAGTACTGGGATTACAGGCGTGAGCCACTGCGCCCGGCCTCTAGCTGTTTTATAATTCGACATATATTGCAGATTTGGGGGACATAGAACCTGGGAAATACAGATGTCCTTAGGATGCTTTCATCCTAGTGGGCAAGGCAGACAATCACAGAAGTAAATACATACACTCTGCTTCCTAATGCCTTATTATTTTCTTTTATGGAGAAATTCACAGTTTGAAATAATGGGGTTATTGGCAATGCTCTTTTGGCGAGATGGATGTGAACCACACACCCATTCCAATGCCATAGGCCTTGGCATCTTAGAGGCATTTGGATTGTGACTGGGAATGAGTGGCCTTCAGGCGCTCCAAATAACTCAGCTGTGGATGCCGGAAATTCTACTGGGGGTCTTTCTTTGGGAATAAACATCATCTTTTTTCTGAGACCCTCTTTCAAATGCAAATCCCTGGGGGAAGAGGACAGAGGCTGCTCATTGAGTTCATAACCTGGCAGGGCTGTGTCACAAGATGGGGCTGCCCGAGGGCTCTGGACCCCAAAGATGCCCCTGATGTGGACCCAGGGCTGCAAAGGGATCTTCCCCGTCACCCTCTGCTGCTGACTCATCCCAGCTCTGCCTGCAGAAGGGGAGTCAAAGGGCAGTGGAGGGAGAGTCAGGCCCAACCAAAACCCGAACCCCAATTGCAGCCAGCCGCCCTCCATAGCTGAAAAAGCCGGAAGCTCTGGGTCAGCTTTACCTGCAGGGCCCTGCGCCTCCCATATGAGTCCTGCCGGGACACTCATGCTTTTCCTCAGTGACATCTCTGTGGTTGCCCACGGGACTTGACAAGAACTTTCAAGGTTTTGTTGTTGTTTTTGTTGTTGTTTTTCTGAGACGGAGTCTCGTTCTGTCTCCCAGGCTAGAGTGCAGTGGTGCGATCTCGGCTCACTGCAACCTCCAGCTCCTGGGCTCAAGCCATTCTCCTGCCTCAGCCTCCCGAGTAACTGGGATTACAGGCGCCTGCCACCACGCCCGGCTAATTTTTGTGTTTTTAGTAGACGGGGTTTTATATACTCTGTTGGCCAGGCTGGTCTCGAACTCCTGAACTCAAGTGATCCGCCCGCCTCGGCCTCCCAAACTGCTGGGATGACAGGCGTGAGCCCCAGTGCCCGGCCCTCTGCCTCTTTTTATTCCTATCAGCTCTCCTGCTAGAAGCCAAACTTAGCACCTTATCTGGGAATGGGGAGGAAGAATGTGGAACCCAGACACCCCACAGCGGCCCCAGAGCTAGGCAGGGCAAGGTCCCCGGGGCAGCGTGGCCGGGCTGCCCGTCTGGTCCCCGCTTACAAGAACCTGCAAGCTTCCCTCCTTGCTTTCCTTCTTCCCCTCGGTTCCTCCCCCGCCGACCTACCTGGAGGCCGATAATAAAGCAGGAGGAGGGAGATGGATGGACGGGAGGGCGGGGCGCCGCGTGGTGCCATAAAGCCCAGCTGGAAGGGGCCTGTCTCGGGAGTGTCCAGCCCCAGGAGCCGGGGACCGTCCGCGTCGCGAGCCGGGCCAAGGCAGTGGGCAGAGGGCAGAGGGCAGAGGGCCGGGGCTGGGGCAGAGGGCGAGTGCCCGGGAAGGCCATGCTGCGGGGCGCGCCAGGACTAGGCCTCACGGCGCGGAAGGGGGCCGAGGACTCTGCGGAGGACTTGGGGGGCCCCTGCCCCGAGCCCGGGGGCGATTCGGGGGTGCTGGGGGCGAACGGCGCTTCCTGCAGCCGGGGCGAGGCGGAGGAGCCGGCGGGCAGGAGGCGCGCGCGGCCGGTGCGGTCCAAGGCGCGGCGCATGGCCGCCAACGTGCGGGAGCGCAAGCGCATCCTAGACTACAACGAGGCCTTCAACGCGCTGCGCCGGGCGCTGCGGCACGACCTGGGCGGCAAGAGGCTCTCCAAGATCGCCACGCTGCGCAGGGCCATCCACCGCATCGCCGCGCTCTCCCTGGTCCTGCGCGCCAGCCCCGCGCCCCGCGGGCCCTGCGGACACCTGGAGTGCCACGGCCCGGCCGCGCGCGGGGACACCGGGGACACAGGCGCCAGCCCCCCGCCGCCTGCAGGGCCCAGCCTCGCGCGCCCAGACGCCGCCCGCCCCTCGGTGCCGTCCGCGCCCCGCTGCGCCTCGTGCCCCCCGCACGCGCCCCTGGCACGGCCCAGTGCGGTGGCCGAGGGGCCGGGCCTAGCACAGGCCTCCGGGGGAAGCTGGCGCCGCTGTCCGGGGGCTTCCTCTGCCGGGCCGCCTCCCTGGCCGCGGGGCTACCTGCGATCCGCCCCCGGGATGGGCCATCCGCGCTCCTGACCGGCCTCGAGGCACCGGCTGGGCTGCAGGGAGGCCGGGCTGGCAGCTGGACTATAAAACCCGGGACTGCAAAGGCGTCTTGGACAGAGCAGAACTGGACCGGCTGAGACCTGGCGTGGAAGAGAAGGAGCTCGCCAGAGAGAAGGAGCTCCGGGACCCGGGGTTGCGCCCCCACATCCCAGCCTGGGGCAGAGAGAAGGAGCTCCGGGGCCTGGGGCTGCGCCCCCACATCCCAGCCTAGGGAGGCAGTTGCCAGAAAGGCTCAGGATCCTGAACTCATCTTGGACTCGAACTCGTCTTGGAATGCCGCCTTCGCACTCCTGCGCCTCCGAGCCCTGTGTGTTCTCGATGCTTTTAGGAGAGTGAGGGCTTTGAGGCAGGAGGTGTGGGAGCGTGGGAATGCGGGTGGGGCCTGCTGTGGTCTCGTGGGCACATGAGTGCGGAGTCCCCTTCCCTGCCTGCGCTGCTGCCCAAGCCTGATCCGGGAGAGGCAGGATCCGGGAGAGGCAGGCAGGGGCAGCAGCCAAATAAAAGGAAAAACTCATTTCTCTCCGATACCACGACTCCAGTGGGCCCCGTGGCCCAGGGTGGCAGGAACGCCTGAGGGCTGGGGGCTCTCCTTGGAATGCTGGGCGGGGCCTAAGGCCCACAGGTAGGCGCCTGGGGGAACTCATTCATGGCAAGACCCCAGGTGTGGCTGAGCACTGTGGGAGCCCAAGGGGAGGAAAGAGACATCCAGAGACCCCTCCTCCCTGAGTCCCCTGGGGTGGAAGAGGATATCAGGAGAGGGGTCACGGGGCCTGGGAGTCTAAGGATGGGGTCAGCCCCGTCTCTGGACCTCCCTGCAGAGCTGCCTGGAAGCAGCCACAGTGAAGGGGGACTCTGGCCAGGTCTCAGGGAAGGAGGCCAAGGGCAGGGCTAGGATTGGGGGCCGGTAAGTCCTGCGTGCATGTACCCCGAGCGACAGGCAGGAAGAGCTCCCAGGGAACCGTGGGCCAGGGCCCCCATAATGAGGGGCCGACTTGGAACCCAGGAAGGATTCTGGGGAGGGGGTTGAGTGAGGGCAGAGGGGCCTCAGGCCAAGCCTGCTGAGCTAGTGAGAGACACAGCCAGCTGCCCCGAGAGTTTTGTCCAGAGAGCTGCCCTGCATCTGAGATGAGCTGGTGTCTGGCCCGGCTCAGGGTAAGGGTCTAATATTGCAAGGGCTGCCTGCTGGGCCAGAGCCCAGAGGTGCTGGGGGAGCGCTGGGCTCTTGCCAACAGGAGAGGGAAGGGTTCCCCACAGCTAGCTCAGAGTGCGGATCCCACAGAAGCTAGAGAAACGCCATTAGGCGTAAACCCAGGGAGAGTTTCCCAGAGCACGTGGGGTGAGGCTCACCTCTACAGTTAAAAGTGCCTCTGCTGTCTGCAAACCCCAGCCCTGGCTGGCACGCTGAGCATCCTGTCCCCAGCCACAGCCCTTAGGGTTCCCAATTGCGCAGGGAGGCTGTGACACAGACCACGGGAAGGCTTTGACTCTATTGAGAGCGGACGTGGGTCTAGCCAGGAGCAGCAACGCAGGAGATGCTGGCCCCAGCCCTGCCCGCCGAGCCCCACAGTGCCACGGGCTGCCAGTGAGAAGGAAAGAGCCAGGCCTGCCCTGGTCCAGCCCCTGCTCAGCCGCCTCTCTCAGCCTCTAGTTCCTCCCCTCTGACATGAATGATTCCAGGATGGCTGTGAGGATTGTAAGTGGTTCGTAATGGACCGTTTCTGGCAAACAGAAGGTGTTCACAAGCTGTCATGTTTGTGTACTATAAGGATCCTGTGAGAAACCAGCTTGGACAAGGCTGTAGCCATGTTTCAGCCTCAGGTATTTATCCTCTGGAAACACAATATAAGGACCAGCAAGTCCTACTTTGCTAAATTCCAGAACTGAAAGAAGTAAGGGGGCCGGGTGTGGTGGCTCGCGCCTGTCATCTCAGCACTGTGGGAGGCCCAGAGGCAGGTGGATCACCTGAGGTCAGGAGTTCAAGACCAGCCTGGCTAACATGGTGAAACCCCATCTCTACTAAAAATACAAAAATTAGCTGGGTGTGGTAGCGCATGCACCTGTAATCCCAGCTACTCGGGAGGATGAGGCATAAGAATTGCTTGATCCCGGGAGGCAGAGGTTGCAGTGAGCCGAGATCGCGCGCCACTGCACTCCAGCCTGGCCAAAAGAGCGAGATTCTCTCAAAAAAAAAAAAAAAGAAAAGAAAAAGAAAGAAAGGTTCTTCTCCCCCATCCTATCACACTCTCAGCCTGGAAATAGCAAGGACACCCCTGCAGGCAGAATCCTGATGCGGCAGCCCCATGAGTTCAGTGGCAGGGATGTCACAGTTCTGGACTTCCAGCTCCTCACTGACCAGCTGAGTGATCTTGGGCCAATCACCTGGCGGCTTTGAGCCTCGGTGTTCCCGTCTGTATAATGGGCTAGAATAAGTACTTACTTCATAGGCTGTTTTGGAGAGTAAATGGGAGGATGCATTTAAAGCACTAGCACAGTGCTTGGCCCACGTAAACGCTGACTGAGTGGAGGCTGTTCAGACATATTCAGTTCACAAGGTTGTTACAAGGAGAGAATGCATGGGAAGCTGTTTTATCAACTGTAAAGTCTGGGACACATTGGCTGCTAGCATGGTTTTTCCGGGGCTGTGTGTTTGGGTGCTGTATGTTTGCCTAGGATTCTGAGTTTGTGATATGTACATATTTTGTGTGTGCTCACATAGATGTGTGGCTGCGTGGATATTTGTGTGGGTATCTATATACGTATCAACCTAACAGGTGCTTCCTCATCTCTCTGATGCCGCAGGGGATCCTGGGCCTGTGTAGCCTCCGTTACGTGCTGTTGAGGTTTTCTGGAACCCTTGCTTGATTTTTCTGTCTGCTTCCCAAGATCGTGTCCATTCTCCAAGATGACTTATATGTGGTGAAGAAAAGATTTTATGATTATTAAAAAATGGTGGTTTCCACTGAGATCACATGGGTTTGCCCAAATATTGTTTAAAAGGCACAATGATAGGCATGAAATGCATAGAGAAAGGAAAATGCCAGGAAGGAAAGACGCACGTGTAAGACAGAGCCGCCAAGCCATGGCTCACTGTAGCCTTGACCTCCTGGGCTCACGTGATCCTCCCACCTCAGCCTTCCTAGTAGCTGAGAATACAGGCGTGTGCCACCATGCCGGCTAATTTTTGTATTTTTTGTAAAGATGGGGTTTTGCCATGTTGCCCAGGCTGGTCTCAAATACCTGGGGCTCAAGTGATCCTCCTGCCTTAGCCTCCCAAAGTGCTGGCATTACAGGTATGAGGGGCCTGGCCTTAATTTTCTTTCTTTTTTTCTTTCTTTTTTTTTTTTTTTTTTTTTTTTTTGAGATGGAGTCTCGCTCTGTCGCCCAGGCTGGAGTGCAGTGGCGTGATCTTGGCTCACTGCAAGCTCTGCCTCCCGGGTTCACGCCATTCTCCTGCCTCAGCCTCCCGAGTAGCTGGGACTACAGGCGCCCGCCACCACGCCCGGATCATTTTTTTTCATATTTTTAGTAGAGACGGGGTTTCACTGTGTTAGCCAGGATGGTCTCCCGACCTCGTGATCCGCCCGCCTCAGCCTCCCAAAGTGCTGGGATTACAGAAATGAGCCACCGCGCCCGGCCTAATTTTCATTAGAGTCTTCATCATTGTTATTTTAAAAGGTGAAAAATTAGGCCCAGCCAACATGGCGAAACCCCGTCTCCACTAAACAAACAAAAATTAGCCAGGCATGGTGGCAGGAGCCTGTAATCCCAGCTACTTGGGAGGAGGCTGAGGCAGGAGAATCACTTGAAACCCAGAAGGCGGAGGTTGCAGTGAGCCGAGATAGCACCACTGCACTCCAGCCTGGGCAACAGAGTGAGATTTGGTGTCAAAAAAAAAAAAGTGCAAGATCAGTCTCCTTAGGAAAACTCCCAAGAGGAGTAGGGATGTGTTTTGAGCAAGGACAGAAAGGAGACGCATCCCCAGTGGGTTCCTTCAGGTGGACCCGCCTCCCTGGATGTGAAATTCTGGGGTGCTTGCTGATGGGCGCACGATTACGTCAATGTTTATCACACTTTACAAAAGGACGTGCGTGTGTGTGTGTGAATGAGTGTGCGAGTGTGTGTGAGTGAATGTGTGTGGGGGTGACTGTGTGTGTGTGAGTGAGGGTGTGTGAATGTGTGTGGGGGTGAGTGTGTGAGTGTGTGTGTGAGGGTGTGTGAATGTGTGTGGGGGTGAGTGTGTGGGGGTGATTGTGAGGGTGTGTGAATGTGTGTGGGGTGAGTGTGTGAGTGTGTGAGTGTGTGGGGGGTGAGTGTATGAGTGTGTGTGAGTGTGTGGGGTGACTGAGTGTGAGGGTGTGTGAATGTGTGTGGGGCGAGTGTGTGAGTGTGTGAGTGTGTGTGAATGTGTGTGTGGGGGGGGTGTGTGGGTGAGTGTGTGAGTGTGTGTGAGTGTGTGGGGGTGACTGAGGGTGTGTGAATGTGTGTGGGGGTGAGTGTGTGAGTGTGTGAGTGTGTGAGAGTGTGTGGGGTGAGTGTATGAGAGTGTGAGAGTGTGTGTGTGAGAGAGAGTGTGTGAGAGTGTGTGTGTGTGTGTGTGTGTACACAGATGTCAGGAGGCTACTCTCTCACTCCTGGAGCAGAACTCCTGAACGGGGCCCAGGAAGGCTTCAGTGAGAAGAGGAATTGGCTCAATTGCACCTTCCCTGTCAGCCCCGTAGGGTTTCCTGACACCCAGTGAGACGCCAAGGATGAAAGGGCTGTGGGGCAGAGATATGAGGAGGATGTTTCTCCTTCCCCTGGGCTTCGGCTTGAACTTGCTTATGCTTCTGAGGTTTCTTCCCCGCCCCACCTCACCCCCCAAAGGACCCCTCATGGGCAGGTCCACTCCCCCGCACTGTTCACATCCCTGTCCTCTCTCAGCATCCCTCGCATGTAGGGTGCTCAAAGGTTGGGGTCACCGCCGGGAGCCCAAATCCGCTGCTGCCTCCCTCGGGCTCCCTCCACTCTGGTCATTCCCCTCATCACTACCTGCCACGAGGTGGCGCTGAGACTCCAGCATCCCACACGGGCGGAGCAAACGTGGGTCCCTAATTACCCCCGACCCCAGCCCGCCCAGGCAACCTCGTGCCAGGGACTACTCTGGGGACTTCTTAGTTTTTTCTTTCCTCCTTTTATTCCATCAAGAATTTAACATATAGCCGGGTGCGGTGGCTCACGCCTGTTATCCCTGCACTTTGGGAGGCCGAGGTGGGCAGATCACCTGAGGTCAGGAGTTCAAGACTAGCCTGGCCAACATGGCGAAACCCTGTCTCTACTAAAAATACAAAAATTAGCCGGACGTGGTGGTGGATGCCTGTAATCCCAGCTACTCGGGAGGCTGAGGTAGGAGAATCGCTTGAACCCGGGAGGCAGAGGTTGCAGCAAGCCTAGAGCCAAGATCACAACACTGCACTCCAGCCTGGGCAACAGAGCAAGACTCTATCTCGTGAGCCACCGTGCCCAGCCTGAAACCCCAATTTTTATATGAAATGAATTTTTAAAATCATGTGTTGAGGCCGGGCGCGGTGGCTCATGCCTGTAATCCCAGAACTTTGGGAGGCAGAGGCGGGTGAATCACCTGAGTTCAGGAGTTTGGGACCAGCCTGGCCAACATGGTAAAACCCCATCTCTACTAAAAATACAAAAATTAGCCAGGCGTGGTGGTGCATGCCTGTAATCCCAGATACTCAGGAGGCTGAGGCCGGAGAATCGCTTGAACCTGGGAGGCGGAGGTTGCAGTGAGCCGAGATCGCGCCACTGCACTCCAGCTTGGTGACAGAGCGAGATTCTGTCTCAAAAAAAAATTTTTTTAATTTTCTACTAGGCACATTTTTAGAACGTAAAAATAAGCAGATGAAATCAATAATGTTGATTTTAATAACGTTTTATTTATCCCAATATATCCAAAATATTATCCTTTCAATATACAATCAATAAAAAGTATTAATGAGATATTTTCCATTCTTTTTGTGTTTGGACCCAGTTTTCGATGTCTTGTGTGTATTTTACATCTCAACTTGGATGAGTCACATTTCAAGGGCTCGGAAGCCACATGTGGCTAGGGGCTACCGAATTGGGCTGGGTAGCTGTCGTCCCTCCACCCAGGGGTCAGCTCCAAGGCTGTACCATGGCATTCTGCCCAACTGGATACCGGCTTGGAGCCTAAGGGGTCTCAGGGACCCACCTAGCCACCCTGTGAAGGAGCTTTCCTGTTATACAGGATTATCGTATTTCTGGACGCTCATAAGCAGGGGAGCCCAGCTCGCTCCCAGGCCCCACACCTGGCCTCCCTGAGGACTGAGAGGAGGACGAGGCGGCTCCCCAAGGTCTTCATTTTGCAAATAACAATGGGTTTCCTTTATTGAGCACAATTCTCTCTCTCTCTCTCTTTTATTTTTTTGAGAGGAGTCTCACTCTGTCACCCAGGCTGGAGTGTAGTGGCATGATCTCCACTCACTGCAACCTCTGCCTCCCGGGTTCAAGCAATTCTCCTGCCTCAGCCTCCTGAGTAGCTGGGATTACAGGCATGTGCCACCACACCCAGCTAATTTTTGTATTTCTAGTAGAGACGGGGTTTCACCACATTGGTCAGGATGGTCTCAATCTCCTGACCTCGTGATCTGCCCACCTTGGCCTCCCAAAGTGCTGGGATTACAGGCGTGAGCCACCATGCCCAGCCTGAGCAAAATTCTTAATTTAATATAGTCAAATTTATGAAACCTGCAAAGTTCTCCCAAAGCCACAAACATTGTTTTTTATTTGTTTGTTTGTTTGTTTGTTTTTAGTTGGAGTCTCATTCTGTCACCCAGGCTGGAGTGCAGTGGTGCAACCTTGGCTCACTGCAACGTTCGCTTCTTCCCAGGTTCAAGTGATTCTCCTGCCTCAGTCTCCAAAGTAGCTGTGGTTACAGGCACCCACCACCACGCTAATTTTTGTATTTTTAGTAGAGACAGGGTTTTGCCATGATGGCCAGGCTGGTCTCGAACTGCTGACCTCAAGTGATCCACCTGCCTCAGCCTCCCAAAGTGCTGGGATTACAGGCATGAGTCACCGTGCCCGGCTGAGTTTTCAAATCTTATTCATTTCCAGGTGTCCTTTCAGCCCCATATCTCCCACTGAGCTGTGCGGCAGGATCTCGGCTCACTGCAGCCTGGACCTCCCAGGCTCAAGCGATTCTCCTCCCTCAGCCTCCCAAGTAGCTGGGATTACAGGCATGTACCACCACGCCCATATATTTTTTGTATTTTTTGTAGAGATGGGATTTTGCCATGTTGCCCAGGCTGGTGTCAAACTCCTGGGCTAAAGCAGTCCTTCTGCCTCGGCCTCCCGAAGTGCTGGGTTTATGGGCATGAGCCATGGCATCCCGCCTGATCGTAGGATTTTAAACTATTTCATACAACCACTTTCAAACCACACACACACATCCGTGGCGGCTCCAGATCACACTTGTAAAACAATGTAAGGAGGGGCGTCAGGAATATAGAAAGAGATGCCGAGGATAGAGAAGAAGGCAGAGACAGAGGGAGAAAACCTAAGAGAGAACAAAGGAGGAGAATCCGATAGGACAAACAGCCTGAGGCCCTTCCGAGCTGGCATCTGCCCGGAGCAGCTGACCTAGGGGCTCTCTGCCACCGGCTCTTTAGCACCCCAGAATCGTTCTGATGGGCATGAGGTGGACCCAACACTCCCCCTTATCCTCTTCCCCACCTGGTGGTGAGCTACGTAGAAACCTACTCATGGGGCCCTGCTGGTCCATGCAGGGTCCAGGCAGGATCCAGGGGCTACCCTGGTGCTCACATCTCCCCTTCCCTTCTGGAGTCGGGAGCCAGGCTTTGGCCTGGATGCTCCCAGCGGTTGGGGGTCAGGGTCTGGGTGGGATGTAATAGGGGGCCCTAAGGTCCAGCATTTCCCAACAGAAAGAAAGAAGTACACGCTTGCTTTGGAAGAAGCAGCGGAGGGCTCAGTTCCCAGGACAGCTGAAGACACATCCCTGTGGGGCCCAAAGTGTCTTTCTCCCCATCCAGAGACCCTGCCCAGAGGAGCAGGCCCTGGAGCTGCAACAGAAACCGGAGGCTGGCCCAAGTCCCTCTGGGCTGGGCTGGGCTGGGCTGGGCAGAGCTGGGCTGGGCTGGGCTGGGCTGGGGCAGAGGCAAAATCCTGCCAGGGTGGTTCTCTGGGGAGAGGGGAATTGAAAAGGAAAAGCATCACCAAGGAGGGGGAGAGGGAGGGAGGCCGTGTGCGCACACGCACACACACACACACACACACACACACACACACACAGCCTCCCTGACTGAGCCTGAGCCTCCCTGGGAAGAGGCGCATTCTTCTCTCTGCTCTCTGAGCTTTCCGTTGCTTCCCTGCCCATCTGTGCTCTCAGCAGCACCAGCAAAGTTGGCCTCAAACTTGAACAAAGCTGCAGGCTCCAGCGTCTTTCTGGGAGCTCCGCGGGGGCAGCAGGCAGGCCCCAGCCTCTGAACTCAGCTGGCTTGAGAAGCTCAGCCCAACCCTTCCAGCACCCAGCCGGCCCTCCGTCTCCTGAGGGACGCCCCTGCCCCCGACCTGGAGGCCCTCAGTCTGGGCTGGGGAATGGCGCGCTGAGGTCCCTCCAGAGCCCCTTGTCCCAGCCTGGAGCTGCAGCCGCGCAAGGCCCAGGCCCCCATGGCCCACCCGGTGCAGTCCGAGTTTCCTTCAGCACAGGAGCCAGGCTCCGCCGCATTCCTGGACCTGCCGGAGATGGAGATACTCCTCACCAAGGCAGAGAACAAGGATGACAAGACCCTGAATCTGTCCAAGACCCTCTCGGGGCCTCTGGATCTGGAGCAGAACAGCCAGGGCCTACCCTTCAAGGCCATCTCCGAGGGGCACCTGGAGGCCCCACTGCCTCGGTCCCCCTCCCGGGCCAGCTCAAGGAGGGCGTCCTCCATCGCCACCACCTCCTATGCCCAAGACCAAGAAGCCCCCAGAGATTACCTCATCCTGGCCGTCGTCGCCTGCTTCTGCCCCGTCTGGCCCCTCAACCTCATCCCCCTCATCATTTCCATCATGGTAAGTGCTGGTCTTTGTTCCAGGGGCAGGGGCTGGGCCCAGGGGTCGGCAGGTGTTTCCCCCAGGCAGGCACCAAACACTGCCCAGGGTGTGGAGAAGAGAGAGCTGGGAGTGGGGGGCTTGGGGAAGACTCCTTTCCTCACTGGCCTCCTCCTTCCTCTTAGAGAGGGGCCCCGGGGCTGGAAGAGCTCCTGCTCTGTTCTCTCATCTCTGCTTCTGGGCATCAGAGCTCGACTTTGCACCTGTGTCTGCTGGGGAGGGGCCCTCAGGGAGCTGCCTGGCGATACATCCCGCGGGGCAGAAAGATAGCCAGGCTGGGGGTCTTGCTGTTTTAGGAGGGACGGGCGGTCCCAAAGGGTCATCGCCAAGTGGGGCTGTCTCAGCAGAGGTTGCACCGGACGGGGGTCCCAGCGCCCATGTGTCCTCCCAGGCCACCTGGACATGCTCCCAGCCTCTGCCGGCTCCGGTTTCCAAGAGTCGCAGCGGCTTCCCTGCCGTACCCTGAGGGCTCCGGGGCCAGGCTCCCCCGAGGGGCGCACAAAGCGGGGAGAGCTGGCAGACTGCTCCTCCCGAGGCGTGGAGTTCCCTCCGGAGCCCTCTGCAGCTCCACAGCTACGCTGACTTCAGCCTCGTCTTCAGGGCAGGGGAGGTCTGGGTCACAAGTGAAAAATGTGAGAGTCAGAGGGCATGGCCTGCCATGCCCAGGAAGGGGCATGGGGCCGGGTCTGTACTTCCATGGGATTTTGAATGAATTGTCTTAGATTGTCTCCAACCCAAGCCCTTTGGGTAGAGCTACTTATAAAGGATTCCATAGAAAATGTCAGCAGATATTGGCAAGTGACTTTTGAAGTCCAGGAAGAAGCGAGAGTTATGAAAGGGTGGGGAGAGGGAGAAGCAGGGCTCAGCAATGATTTCAGAGTGAGGTCAGGGGCAGGGGGTAGAAAACTGCTGGCCCAGGCTGGTCAGGGCCAGAGGACTAGGTGTGGAGGGGGGTTCCCAAGAGTGACTCCCTGCAGAGTCACCATCACCGAACCCCCAGGAGCTGTCCTCTGAGAAAGCTCCTATTTCTTCAAACCACTCTGTCTACCTCAGGGAGGCCCAGTCTCCCAGCAGGGAAGCCTTCCCCATCCCACCAAAGCCAGTACTACCTTTCAGGACATCAGGGGGCACTGGCAGCCTTCCTGAGTCTGAGGGACTTGGCATGGGCTGTGGAAGCAGGGCCGGGCAGGGGCCTTCCGGGCAGCTCTCTGTGATGCCTGCTGTACCTGGGGACCGCTTGCAGGTAAAGCCAGGACCCAGGGGTGCAGCCAGTGGCTGTGGGCAGGGCCTGCCTCTTGGTTACAGGGAAAGGCCCCAGGAGGGGAAACTGGATTTGGGGAGGGAAGCTACCCAAGGGCTCAGGAGAAAACAGCTGCTGGAATCCATCTCCTGGTGGGGTGGCAGGGTGCAGGCTGGGCAGGACCTGCCTCTGACAAACAGAGCCTAAGCCCAAGGCAATGAGACCACAGAACCTGCCCCAGTGAGTTTCTATATATACATATACATACATGTACATATATGCACATACATGTACATATATGCACACGTGTACATATATGTACATATATACAGATATACACATATGTACATATACATATGTACATATATACACACATATGTACACATATGTACATGTATACACATATATACATATATGTACATATATACGTATATGTGTACACATAAATGCACATATGTACATATACACGCATATATGTACGTATACACGTGCATATATGTACGTATACACGTGCGTATATGTACGTGTACACGTGCGTATATGTACGTATACACGTGCGTATATGTACGTATATGCACGTATATGTACGTATATGTACATATATGCACGTATATGTACATATATGTACGTATATGTACATATGCGTATATATGTACATATATGTACGTATATGTACATATGCGTATATATGTATATATGTACGTATATGTATATATATTTTAAGACAGAGTCTTGCTCTGTCACCCAGGCTGGAGTGCAATGGTGCGATCTCGGCTCACTGCAACCTCTGCCTCCCAGGTTCAAGCAGTTCTCTTGCCTCAGCCTCCTGAGTAGCTGGGATTACAGGAGCCCACCACCACACCTGGCTAATTTTTGTATTTTTAGTAGAGACGGGGTTTTACCATGTTGGCCAGGCTGGTCTTGAACTCCCGACCTCGTGATCCACCCACCTCGGCCTCCGAAAGGGCTGGGATTACAGGTGTGAGCCACTGAACCTGGCCTGTTTCTATATTCTTTAAAGGTTTTGTTTTGTTTTATTTGAAACGGAGCCTCGCTCTGTCGCCCAGGCTGGAGTGCAATGGTGCGATCTTGGCTCACTGCAAACTCCGTCTCCCAGGTTCATGCAATTCTCCTGCCTCAGCCTCCCAAGTAGCTGGCATTACAGGCGCTGGCCACCATGCCTGGCTAATTTTTGTATTTTTAGTAGAGACGGGGTTTCTCCATGTTGGTCAGGCTGGTCTCAAACTCCTGATCTCAGGTGATCCTCCCACCTCGGCCGCCCAAAGTGCTGGGATTACAGGCAAGTGCCCACCACACTCGGCCCCTTTTACGTTTTTGAGTCAGGTGTGATGAATACCAGGCTGGGCACAGGGAATACATTGCTAACCAGACACTGTTGCCAATTCCCCAGAACCTCCAGTCCGGCAGGAAGGAACTCTTAAACAGATTCTTATGACATATTTCCAGAAGTGCCCGTGGTAGACATAAAGTTAAGATAATGAGCTGGGAAAGTCATTCAAACGGCTCTTCTCCCTGGCATTCCCATCTGCAAAATGGGTATAACCTCAATGCCTGCACGAGAGAGCCGTGAGGGGGTGAAATGAGACGGGCCACACCCAGTGCTTCAGAACAACACCAGGAGGGTGTGGGGCTCTTACAGGATAATGGGTACGTAAGTGGCAGCGGGGAGCCTCCCGGGGGAGGCAGGAAGCCATCCTGGTGTTTTAGAAATGGCTTTGTTGAGATATAACTCACATACCATATGATGCACCCATCTAAAGTGTATTCACAGACAGGTGCAACAACCGCAGTCAATTTGGAACATTTGCCTCATCTCCAAAAGAAACCCTGTACCCTGGCCGGGCGCAGTGGCTCATGCCTGTAATCCCAGCACTTTGGGAGGCCGAGGCGGGTGGATCTCCTGAGATCAGGAGTTCGAGACCAGCCTGGCCAACATGGTGCAACCCCATCTCTACTAAAAATACAAAAAAATTAGCCAGGTGTGGTGTCATGTGCCTGCAATCCCAGCTACTCGGGAGGCTGAGGCAGGAGAATCACTTGAACCCTGGAGGCAGAGGTTGCAGTGAGCCGAGATCCAGCCACTATACTCCAGCCTGAGTAACAGAGTGAGATTCTATCTCAAAAAAAATAAAATAAAATAAAGGGCCGGGAGTGGTGGTCATGCCTGTAATCCCAGCACTTTGGGAGGCCGAGGCGGGCAGATCACGAGGTCAGGAGATTGACACCATCCTGGCTAACACGGTGAATCCCCATCTCTACTAAAAATGCAAAAAATTAGCCGGGCATGGTGGCAGTGGGCGCCTGTAGTCCCAGCTACTCAGGAGGCTGAGGCAGGAGAATGGCGTGAATCCGGGAGGCGGAGCTTACAGTGAGCTGAGATGGTGCCACTGCACTCCAGCCTGGGCGACAGAGCAAGATTCTGTCTCAAAAAAAAAAAGAAAGAAAGAAAGAAAGAAAAGAAAGAAAGAAACCCTGTCCCCTTCAGCTGTCACTCTCCATCCCTGCCCCTCCCAGCCCTGAGCAACCACTCATCTCCTTTCTGTTTCTCTAGATCTGCCTATTCTGGACATGAAATGATAAATGGAATCATACAGTATGAGGCCTGTGTTCCTGGCCTCGTTCACTTTGCATGTCGTCTTCAAGCGTCATCCCTGCCGCAGTGCCGTAGCAGCACGCTGTAGGCTTTGCAGCCGAGAGGAGTGTGGTTGGATCTCCATTTTGCTGGATCAGTCTGGGGCAGGGTGAGAGGAGGGGTTGGAGGGGATGAGGCTGGCGTTCAGCAGAGGGGACCCTCGTAGGAATGCAGGCAAGAGGCGAAGAGGCCAGGACCAGGGCCAGGGACAGGGCCAGAGGTGGCTCTGAAACCCTCTAAGAGTGGGTTGTACCGACCATTCATTCATTCAGTCGACTTGAACAGCAAGTTGCTTGTGTTGAGGGAACTAAGTAGTAGAGGACGGTCAGGCCCCTGTGAATGAATGTGCCTCTTTTATTTATTTATTTATTTATTTTTGAGATGGAGTCTTGCTCTGTCGCCCAGGCTGGAGTGCAGTGGCGCAATCTCAACTCACTGCAAGCTCCACCTCCCGGGTTCACGCCATTCTCCTGCCTCAGCCTCCTGAGTAGCTGGGACTACAGGCGCCCGCCACCACACCCTGCTAATTTTTTGTATTTTTAGTAGATACGGGGTTTCACTGTGTTAGCCAGGATGGTCTCGATCTCCTGACCTCGTGATCCACCCGCCTCGGCCTCCCAAAGTGCTGGGATTACAGGCGTGAGCCACCACACCCGGCTGAATGCACCTCTTTTATGAACCAGGCACCGTGTTGGCATTTGGGAAGCAGATGGATGGGATAAGTAGACGGTCTGGCTGACATGGCAGAAGGCTGCAAGGGGTGTGATGGGAGAGGGAGGCAGCAGGGACTTGCTTAGGAATTTAAGTTCTGGCTGGGTGCAGTGGCTCGTGCCTGTAATCCCAGCGCTTTGGGAGACAACAAGTGGATCACTTGAGGTCAGGAGTTCGAGACCAGCCTGGCTAACATGGTGAAACCCCGTTTCTACTAAAAATACAAAAAATTAGCCAGGCGTGGCGGCACACACCTATAATCCCAGCTACTCAGGAGGCTGAGGCAGGAGGATTACTTAAACCCGGGCGGCAGAGATTGCAATGAGCCAAGATTGTGCCACTGCACTCCAGCCTGGGCAATAGAGCAAGACTCCATCTCAAAAAATTAAAGAGGGCTGGGCTCAGTGGCTCACACCTGCAATCCCAGCACTTTGAGAGGCCAAGGCGGGTGGATCACGAGGTCAGGAGTTCAAGACCAGCCTGGCCAACATGGTGAAACCTCATCTCTACTAAAAATACAAAAATTAGCCGGGCGTGGTGGCGCACGCCTGTAATCTCAGCTACTCTGGAGGCTGAGGCAGGAGAATCGCTTGAACCAGGACTCGGGAGGCAGAGGCGGAGGTTATAGTGAGCTGAGATTGTGCTACTGCACTCCAGCCTGGGCTACAGAGCAAGACTCCATCTAAAAAATGGGAAGGGAAGGGAAGGGTAAGGTCGAGGAGGGGAGGGGAGGGGGAAACTGGAGCCACATCAGAGAGATGTGGGGGTCTCTAACATCTAGGGGGAGGGCCGAGGGGAGTGGACAGAAAAGTATTTTGAAAAGGAGATTCCAGGAGGTGGAAGGAAATCTTGGAAAGGGGCAGAGACACCCAGGGAGGAGAGAGTCTGAAGGAGGGAGCGGCCAGCTCCGAGGCCGCTCAGGTTCAATGAGCATGGAAGCATCCACTGCCTTGGCCACGCATAGATCCCTGGTGACCGGGGGATGGAGGGGCCTTGGCAAAATGGGAGGGATGATGGATGAGCTGAGGTCCTGGAAGCAGTGGAGAGATGCGATCCAGAGCCCAGGAAGAAAGACACCCTGTCCCTGGCAGCCTGAAGGAGAGGCCGTGAGGGCAGAGGCCGATGGAACTGCTCAGAGGGAAGGGGCTGGCTCACGCTGCACGGCCACCAGGCCTCCAGGGATGTGGGTCCAAGGTCGTTTGCTAAGAACTAGGGGCCTGGTGGCAGCAGGGAGGGGAGGTGACCAGGCACAGACAGGCCAATGGCCCAAGGCCTCTGCTGAGGCTGGAGACCACAGATGTGGGGTGTTGTTGGCCTGTGGGGTGTTGCTGTCGGCCTGTGAGGTGTTATCGGCCTGTGGGGTGTTATCGGCCTGCGGGTTGTTATCAGCCTGTGGGGTGTTGTTGTCGGCCTGTGAGTTGTTATCGGCCTGTGGGGTGATGTTATCAGCCTGTGGGGTGTTTTTATCAGCCTGTGGGGTGTTATCGGCCTGTGGGGTGTTGTTGGCCTGTGGGTGTTGTCAGCCTGTGGGGTGTTGTCAGCCTGTGGGGTGTTATCGGCCTGTGGGGTGTTATTGGCCTGTGGGGTGTTGTTTTCGGCCTGTGGGGTGTTATCGGCCTGTGGGGTGTTGTTATTGGCCTGAGGGGTGTTATCAGCCTGTGGGGTGTTGTTGGCCTGTGGGTGTTGTTTTCGGCCTGCGGGTGTTGTTTTCGGCCTGTGGGGTGTTATCAGCCTGTGGGGTGTTATTGGCCTGTCAGGTGTTATCAGCCCGTGGGGTGTTGTCGGCCTGTGGGGTGTTGTTGTCGGCCTGTGGGGTGTTGTTGTCGGCCTGTGGAGTGTTGTTATTGGCCAGCCGGGTGTGATTTGCTCCAGCTGTAGGTGTAGGTTCCCAGACATGCATATCAGGTCAACCCAAGTCTGAGGATGGCAGAGTTGCTGTGAGAGCAGGGCCAGGTGGTGAGGAGGATGCTGGTGAGGTGGCTGAGATGACACATCGAAGGGTTGGGCTGTGCTGGGAGGGAGCGAGGCCAGGAAGATGGTGATAGACTTGGAAGAGAAAAGGGGCCATGGGCTGAGAGAAGACAAAGGGCATGAGAGGGTGAGAGGGAAGTTGGGAGTTGAGTTTCAAAGGAGGAATCAGGTCAGGGGATGGCAAAGGGGTGGAGTGTAGTTGTGGAAATGAATTTCTAAAGGGAAAAATCAGTAGCCAGGGAGGAGAGAGTTGAGGGAGCCCAGTGTTGAGGGCTAATATTACTAATACTCACTGAGTACCTACTAAATGTTAGGTACAGTTCCAAATTCTTTTTGTTGTTATTGTTGTTTTTGTTTTTTTTTGTTTTCTTTTTTTGAGACAGAGTCTCGCTCTGTCACCCAGTCTGGAGTGCAGTGGCACAATCTTTGCTCACTGCAAGCTCCGCTTCCCAGGTTCACGCCATTCTCCTGCCTCAGCCTCCTAAGTAGCTGGGACTACAGGGGCCCACTACCACGCCTGGCTAATTTTTTGTATTTTTATAGTAGAGATGGGGTTTCATTGTGTTACCAGGATGGTCTCAATCTCCTGACCTCGTGATCCACCTGCCTCAGCCTCCCAAAGTGCTGGGATTACAGGTGTGAGCCACTGCGTCTGGCCTGTTGTTTTTAAGACAGAGTCTCGCTCTGTCACCCAGGCTGGAGTGCAATAGTGCGATCTTGGCTCACTGCAACCTCCACCTCCCAGGCTCAAGTGATTCTCCTGCCTCAGCCTCCCGAGCAGCCGGGACTACAGGCATATGCCATCAAGCCCGGCTGATATTTGTATTTTTAGTAGAGACAAGGTTTCACCATGTTGGTCAGGCTGGTCTTGAACTCTTGCCCTCAGGTGACCTCCCCGTTTCAGCCTCCCACAGTGCTGGGATTACAGGCGTGAGCCACTGCACCTGGCCCTCTCATCCAATTTCTAAGAACAAGAGTGCCCTCCCCACTCTGTCCACAGGCCATCCCTGAACTCTAGTCCTGACCTCAGCCTCTCTCTGTTGCCCGGGGACATCATGGCACCCATCACTCCTCAGTCTCATCCCCCTTCCCTCTTTGCAGCTCTCTTCCTCTCCCGTCTGGAAGAAACCCCTTTTATCCACCCGGTTGTATTTGCTCTGCCATCACCTATTCGCTTCCACTGCTGAGCTCCTAAGAGCTGCCTCCACGTGCTGTCTGAGCTTCATCCCCCACCAGCTCCCCATCCCCCACGGGCTCCTCATCCCCCTCCAGCTTCTCATCCCCCACCGGGTTCCCCATCCCCCACGGGTTCCCCATCCCCCACGGGCTCCTCATCCCCCACGGGTTCCCCATCCCCCATGGGCTCCCCATCCCCCATGGGCTCCTCATCCCCCACAGGTTCCCCAACCCCCACAGGTTCCTCATCCCCCACTGGGTTCCCCATCCCCCACGGGTTCCTCATCCCCCACGGGTTCCCCATCCCCCATGGGTTTCCCATCCCCCACGGGCTCCCCATCCCCCTCCAGCTTCTCATCCCCCACGGGTTCCCCATCCCCAATGGGTTCCCCATCCCCCATGGGCTCCTCGTCCCCCTCCAGCTTCTCATCCCCCACGGGTTCCCCATCCCCCATGGGTTCCCCATCCCCCTCCAGCTTCTCATCCCCCACGGGTTCCCCACCCCCCACGGGCTCCTCATCCCCCACCGGGTTCCCCATCCCCCACGGGTTCCCCATCCCCCACGGGCTCCCCATCCCCCACGGGTTCCCCATCCCCCACGGGCTCCCCATCCCCCTCCAGCTTCTCATCCCCCACGGGCTCCCCATCCCCCACGGGTTCCCCATCCCCCACGGGCTCCTCATCCCCCACGGGTTCCCCATCCCCCACGGGTTCCCCATCCCCCACCAGACTCCCCATCCCCCACGGGTTCCCCATCCCCCACCGGACTCCCCATCCCCCACCGGACTCCCCATCCCCCACGGGCTCCCCATCCCCCACCGGGTTCCCCATCCCCCACGGGCTCCCCATCCCCCACGGGTTCCTCATCCCCCACGGGTTCCCCATCCCCCACCAGACTCCCCATCCCCCACGGGTTCCCCATCCCCCACCGGACTCCCCATCCCCCACCGGACTCCCCATCCCCCACGGGCTCCCCATCCCCCACGGGCTCCTCAACCCCCTCCGGCTCCTCATCCCCCACGGGTTCCCCATCCCCCACGGGCTCCTCAACCCCCTCCGGCTCCTCATCCCCCACCGGGTTCCTCATCCCCCACCGGGTTCCTCATCCCCCAGGGGCTCCCCATCCCCCACAGGCTCCTCATCCCCCATGGGTTCCTCATCCCCCACGAGTTCCCCATCCCCCACCAGGTTCCCCATCCCCCACTGGTTCCCCATCCCCCATGGGCTCCTCAACCCCCTCCGGCTCCTCATCCCCCACGGGCTCCTCATCCCCCACCGGCTCCTCTGAAACCTCCTGCCAAGGGTAAGCATGACCAGCATTGCCGATAGTTCCATATTTCATCCTTATCTTGCTTGACCTATGCCGGACACGGCACTGTCAGCCACTCCCTCCTTCTTTCCCATCTTGTGCTTCCCAGATGCTGCCCCTCCCACCCTCTCCCACTCCTCCTCAGGCTCCCTTGCAGCCTTCTTCTCCCCAGCACCCCTTTATTTATGAGTCAGTGTTCCCCACAGTCCTGTCTGTGGACCTTTCCTCTTTCCATCTGCCCCTGGATGGCCTCAATTGCATCCCCGTGTGACGACTCCTGCATGCTGGGACCGGTTTATCCAAGTCCAGCTACATACTCATGGCACCCCGCACCTCTGCCCAAATACAAGTCCAAACACTGCACGGCCCTCTTCCTGAGTCCCAGCTGGAGGAAGGGCACCTCCACTCATCCAGCACCCAAGCTGGGAACCTGGGAATCATTCGAGTCACGTTCCTCCCAGCACCCAAGCCGGGAACCCCGGAATCGTCTGAATCATGTTCCTCCCAGCACCCAAGCCGGGAACCTGGGAACTGTTCAAGTCCTGTTCCTCCCCCATACTCCATCTCATCTTTCACCAAAACCCATGGATTCTATCTTCAGAACTTCTCAAACCTGAACTCTTTTCCAATTCTCTACTTCCTTCCAGTCTTTGAAACTGTCTGCTCTCAATCTCCACCCCGTACTCTACACAGTAGTCAGAGAACATTCCTAAAATGCAAATCTGATCCTGTCCCAATTAATATCCTTCACTGGCTCCCTGTTCCTGCAGGACAAAATCCCGACTCCCTTATGTGACAGTCAGGGCCCTTTTTGTTGTTTTGTTTTGAGATGGAGTTTCGCTCTGTTGCCCAGGCTGGAGTGCAATGGCGTGATCTCAGCTCACTGCAGCCTCCGCCTCCCAGGCTCAAGTGATCCTCCTGCTTCAGCCTCCCGAGTAGCTGAAGCTACAGACACATGCCACCACGCCCGGCTAATTTTTGTATTTTTTGTAGAGGTGGGATTTTGCCATGTTTCCCAGGCTGGTCTTGAACTCCTGACCTCAAGCAATCTGCCCACCTTGGCCTCCCAAAGTGCTGACATTACAGGCGTGAGCCACTGCTCCTGGCCGAGGGTCCTTGTTGATCTGGCGTTTTCCCCCTCCCCAGTTGCTTCTTGTACCACGCCCACATCATGGTCTGTGCTCTGCCCCCATCTCTTCGTCTGTAAAATGGACTAATCGCAATCCCTGCCTCACTGGAGTGTTAGGAAGGTGATATGGCTTGGCTGTGTCCCCACCCAAATCTCACCTTGAATTGTAGGCCCCATAATCCCCTCGTGTCCTGGGAGGGACCCGGTGGAGGTCATTGAATCATGGGGGTGGTTACCCCCACGCTGCTGCTCTCGCGATAATGAGTGAGTTCTCGCGAGATCTGATGGATTTTTTTTTTTTTTTCTGAGCCAGAGTTTCGTTGTTGTGGCCCAGGCTGGAGGGCAGTGGCACAGTCTTGGCTCACTGCAACCTCCACCTCCCGGGTTCCAGCGATTCTCCTGCCTCAACCTCCCAAGTAGCTGGAATTACAGGCAGGTGCCACCATGCCCCGCTCATTTTTTTGTATTTAGTAGAGACGGGGTTTCACCATGTTGGTCAGGCTGGTCTCGAACTCCTGACCTCAGGTAATCCACTCACCTCAGCCATGCAATGGTGTGATCTCGGCTCACTGCAACTTCCGCCTCCCGGGTTCAAGTAATTCTCCTGCTTCAGCCTCCTGAGTAGCGGGGATTACAGGCACCCGCCACCGCGCCCAGCTAATTTTTGTATTTTTAGTGGAGACAGGGTTTTGCCATGTTGGCCAGGCTGGTCTTAAACTCCCGACTTCAGGTGATCCACCTGCCTCGGCCTCCCAAACTGCTGGGATTACAGGCGTGAGCCACCGCGCCTACCAATCTGATGGTTTTATAAGGGGCTTCCCCGTTTTGTTCGGCACTTTTCCTTTCTGCCGCCATGTGGTGAAGGACGTGTTTACCGCCCCTTCCGCCATGATTGTAAGTTTCCTGAGCCTCTCTGGCCATGCTGAACTGTGAGTCAGTTAAACCTCTTTCCTCTATGAATTACCGAGTCTAGGGCATGCCTTTATTAGCGGTGTGAGAACGGCCTACCACAGAGGATGAATTGTTCTAACAGGTGGCAGAATTTGGCATCATACCTAGCACGAGATACACGTTCAAAGAGTGCCAGCGTTGTTTATTCTCCTGGCAGAGCTGGAGGAATCTTGGTGGGCTTCACAGAGGAGGTGGCCTTGGAGCCACCCCTTGAAGGATGGAGGGATTTGGACATATGGTGCTTTGGAGAAACAGCCAGAATAAAGCCCTGTGGAGGTTGATACTCGAACCTCAAGCAACTCAGACTGGCTGGGCCCAGTGGTTGTGGAAGAAAATAGTGGAGGATAAAACAGGAAATGTAGGCCAGGCGCGGTGGCTGGGATCACCTGAGGTCGGGAGTTCAAGACCAGCCTGACCAACATGATGAAACCCCATCTCTACTAAAAATATAAAATCAGCCAGGCGTGGTGGATGCCTGTAATCCCAGCTACTTGGGAGGCTGAGGCAGGAGAAATGCTTGAACCCGGCAGGCGGAGGTTGCAGTGAGCCGAGATCTCGCCATTGCACTACAGCCTGGGCAACAAGAGCAAAACTCCATCTCAAAAACAAAACAAAACAAAACAAAACAAACAAACAAAAAAACAGGAAATGTAAGCTGGCCTGCATTTGGACTTCGTTCTGTGGAAGACGCTGAGCAGCTGGGATGGCCTCAGCCACCATCATCTCACTGAACCTTTGCAACAGCTCCCGACTCACCTCCCTGCCTCCCCTCTGTTCCCCACACTGCAGACAGAAGGGTGTTTTGGAAATCCGTATCCAGTCCTATCATTCGGGACTCACGTCCTACACTGGGCCCCGCTGCTCATGGTATAAGGACCACCCTCCTTCTGGTGCTGCTCGAGCCCTGCCTGGCCTAGCCCTGCCCACCTCTGTGCCTCCCCATCCTCCCTCCATCAGCCCCAGCAACGCTGACCTCCGTCCAGTCCCTCCTACCTCCTCAGTCAGCGACTGTTTTTTGAACATCTACACATTTGCCATGCAGCACCTTCGCACATGGCTGTTATCTCTGCCTGGGATACTCCTTCCTTTGGAAACAAACAATCTAATTCTTGCTCATCCTTCACATCTCAACTCAAATGTCCTTCCTCCAGGAAGTCTTCCCTGATTCTCCCCTTTCACGAGTTCTCCTGGTATCAAGTGCCTCTCCTTTGTCATGCCACCCACCACAGTTGCATTTTTACCTTTCTTCGTGTGATCACAAAGGAGGCCAGTGGGCCAGAAGTTCTGTGGGCACAGGAGCCGGGATGCTCCTCCGCGCTGCTGCGTCCTGGGGTCTCACACAGGGCCTGTTACAAATACAGACAGTGTGAATCGGGGGCGTGGGGAGAGGGTGAAGAAGAACAGAGACTGGTGCTGGGGAGATCTTTGAGAGGAAAGAGGCCGGGCACAGTGACTCACACCTGTACTCCCAGCACTTTGGGAGGCCAATGTGGGCAGATCATGAGGTCAGGAGATCGAGACCAGCCTGGCCAACATGGTGAAACTGTCTCTACTAAAAATACAAAAATTAGCCGGGCGTAGTGGCGGTCACCTGTAGTCCCAGCTACTTGGGAGGCTGGGGTAGGAGAGTGGCTTGAACCCGGGAGGTGGAGCTTGCAGTGAACCGAGATTGCGCCACTGCACTCCAGCCTGGGCGACAGAGCAAGACTCTGTCTCAAAAAAAAAAAAAAAAAAAAGATAGTGGTGATGCTCCTGCTTTGTAACAGAGGGCAGAGGAGCCGTCACGGAGAGGGAGGAGCGGAGCTCAGGCTACGGCAAGGAGGAGGAGGAGAGGTACAAGGCGTGGGTTGGGTTTGATGATGTCACGAGTTGAGTTTGATGATGTCGTGGGTTGGGTTTGATGATGTCGTGGGTTGAGTTTGATGATGTCGTGGGTTGTGCTTGATGATGTCGCAGGTTGGGTTTGATGATGTCACGAGTTGAGTTTGATGATGTCGTGGGTTGGGTTTGATGATGTCGTGGGTTGAGTTTGATGATGTCGTGGGTTGTGTTTGATGATGTCGCAGGTTGGGTTTGATGATGTCATGGGCTGGGTTTGATGATGTCATGAGTTGAGTTTGATGTTGTGGGTTGAGTTTGATGATGTCACAGGTTGAATTTGATGATGTCACGCTGTCCCAGACGGAGCTTGGAATGGAAGTGCAGGGCTGGGTGCAGGCTGGTCAGAATTTTGAGCAGTGAAGAGAACAGGACCCCAAGAGGGCACCTGCAGAGAGAGAACACAGAGAGGGAGGGGCACAGCTCTGACACTCAGTTTCTTCCTCAGGGAGGTGGGGCTGCATTGCCAACCTCCTAGGGTGATTCTGAGGCTAAAGGAGGTAATCTAGGTACAGTCCTTAGCAAGCTGCCTGGCATGAAGTAAAATCATCATCATCGTCTTCTTCTTTGTCATCATCTTCATCACACTTAACTGCATTTCCATGTTGAACTCAGGAGCCTCAAATAATCAGAAAATAAAGTAACCAAGGACTTCTCTGAGGCCCTGAAATCAGCCACACCATCAGAGGACTCCTGCGTGTGCCTGTTCTAGGGAGGGAGGGACACAGGACCCTTAGAGATGCTTGGGCTCCACCTCCTACCAAGTCATCCCGGGACCCTCCTAGGACCCTCTCTGTCCCCACCCTCATCCGTTTTAGCCGTTGAACTAGGTTCAGGAAGAACAGAGCTCACCGAGGAGTGATACATAAAACAAGGCCCCCGTGAAGCCACATGACTCCACCCAGTCCTGGTCTCCCCAGGCAACCACGAGGCCATTCATTCTTTTGTGTGATCCGGGAAGTGGGCTTGATTGAACGAGGATGTGGTTCTTGGGTGGGAAATGGAGGCTGTGAAGACAGTGTCTTTTTTTTTTTTTTTTTTTGAGGCAGTCTCACTGTGTCACCAGGCTGGAGTGCAATGGCGCAATCTTGGCTCACTGCAACCTCCACCTCTGGGGTTCAAGCAATTCTCCTGCATCAGCCTCCTGAGTAGCTGGGACTACAGGTGCACACCACCATGCCCAGCTAATTTTTGTATTTTATTAGAGACGGGGTTTCACCGTATTGGCCAAACTGGTCTCAAACTCTTTTTTTTTTTTTTGAGACGGAGTCTTGCTGTCTCCCAGGCTAGGGTGCAGTGGCACAATCTTGGCTCACTGCAACCTCCACCTCCTGGGTTCAAGCGATTCTCCTGCGTCAGCCTCCTGAGTAGCTGGGATTATAGGGGTGCACCACCACGCCCAGCTAATTTTTGTATTTTTAGTAGAGATGGGGTTTCACCATGTTGGTCAGGCTGGTCGCAAACTCCTGGCCTCATGATCTGCCCGCCTCAGCCTCTCCAAGTGCTGGGATTACAGGCATGAGCCGCTGCGCCCGGCTGACAATGTCTCTTTTTATGGAGGCAGGGGTGGGGGGTGCTTACAGAGGAGAGGAGGCCAGCGTGTCAGGCTGTAGGAAGAGCCCAGGGGCTGTCTTGGGATCCCAAAGCCGCTGCAGAATTGAGGCTTGCGCTGGGGTCCGGGGGCACCTGGCCTGTCTGTTCTTGCCAGTTGGCCTGGACCTGGTCCACCTTCTCAGGCCCTCGGTCTCTAGCCTGCCACCGCCACCTCCTCCACCGCCCTGAGAAGAAGTGCCAGGCTTTGCTGGGTTCTGCTCCCAGCTGTCCCCAGCTGGTGAGGGACAGGCGTGGTTAGGGGTCTGCACAAGAGGCCCTGGCCACTTCTCCGGGGACAGCCCTCTTCCTCTCCCCTAGAGTGTGGGCTGCCATGGGGACGGGATGTGTCTGGAGGCCCAGGCTCAGGGCCACCCCAGGGCTGCCTGCTGAGGCCCATGAAGCTGACCCACAGCCTTCCCGGTTCCCGGGGTCTCTCTGTGCTCTCTCCGCAGTCTCGAAGCAGCATGCAACAGGGCAACGTGGACGGCGCCCGGAGGCTGGGCCGCCTGGCTCGGCTGCTCAGCATTACCCTCATCATCATGGGCATCGTCATTATCATGGTGGCCGTGACCGTCAACTTCACAGGTGAGACCCAGCTCCTTGGAGAGGAGGAAGCCAGCTTGCCTGGTGTGAGGACTGCTCAAGGGTGTACCCAGCCTCAGGGGCAGAGGTGGTGGGTTGGGGGAAGGAGAAGGGCTGGTGGGGGCCCCGGCCTTATCCTCCCAGTCCATAAAGTGCCCCAGTTCCCAGGAGGGACCAGATGAGTGGGGATGGGCTGGCAGACTTGTCTTATGCCCAGAGAGTGAACTGATGGAAAGGGTGTGGAAAGTGCACAGCCTCGGAGTCAGAGGACAGGAGCTCCAGCTTCAGCTCTGATGGGCCTGGGACCAGGGTCGGTTCCTGACTAGCTGAGCCTCAGTGTTTCCTGGTATCAAGTGGCAGGAAAGAGCCTCCAGCAGAGGCTTTTGTGAGCATCACCCGAGATAAAGGACGTGACTGTGCTTTGTAAACACTAAAATCCCTGCAGTCAGCCGGGGAACCCCAGAAGCAAGCAGTGCATATGGTAGAATTCAAAAAGTAGGTGACCCTTCTGTGGGCACCCATAGGTGGCCCGGTGAAGTCATCCAACCAGGGGAAACATTTTTTATTATTTTGTATTAATTAACTTTATTTTTGAGATGGAGTTTCACTCTTGTTGCCCAGGCTGGAGTGCAGTGGTGCGATCTCGGCTCACTGCAACCTCCGCCTTCCGGGTTCAAGTGATTCTCCTGCCTCAGCCTCCTGAGTAGCTGGGATTACAGGCACCAGCCACCACGCCCGACTAATTTTTGTATTTTTAGTAGAGACGGTTTCATCATGTTGGCCAGGTTGGTCTCGAACTCCTGACCTCAGGTTATCCACCCACCTTGGCCGCCTAAAATGCTGGGATGACAGGTGTGAGCCGCCACGCCCAGCCCAGGGGAACCATTTTCTCTTTCTTTTTTTTTTTTTGAGATGGAGTCTCATTCTGTTGCCCAGGCTGGACTGCAGTGGCATGATCTCAGCTCACTGCAACCTCCACCTCCCAGGTTCAAGTGATTCTCCTGTCTCAGCCTCTCGAGTAGCTGGGCTTACAGGTGCCCACCACCGCACCCAGCTGATTTTGTATTTTTAGTAGAGATGGGGTTTCATCATATCAGTCAGGCTGGTCTCAAACTCCTGACTTCAGGTGATCCTCCCGCCTCAGCCTCCCAAAGTGCTGGGATTACAGGCGCCTGCCACCACGCCCGGCTAAGTTTGTATTTTTAGTAGAGATGGGGTTGCATCACGTTGGCCAGGCTGGTCTCGAACTCCCGACCTCAGGTGATCCACCAGCCTCGGCCTCCTAAAGTGCTGGGATGACAGGCATGAGCCACCGCGCCTGGCCCAGGGGAACCATTTTCAAAGGTGACTCTCTGCTGTTCAAGAAACCCATGCAGCTTGGTGAGGTGACTTTGGGGGGTCATCCGGGTCTGAACTGCCGATTTTCTTCCTTTCATACACGTACATCAGGAAGTCCCCAAGGATCTCTGCCCATTTCAATGAACCCTAAGCTTTTCCCCTAAAGACCTCGCTGCTCAAACTGTGCTCCCTGGACCTGTGACGGGATTATCGAGGAATGTGTCAGAAACGCAGAACTCCAGGCTCCATCCCTGAACCGGATTGGAATCTGGACTTTAATAAGACTCCCAGCCCAACCGTCAACGTTGGGAGGCACTGGTCTAGAGTGTGGGGTGCCCAACTTGAGCTTGGGACCGAAAGCCTGGGGTTCAGCTGTGGGGCCGCCAGCAACCTTGGCCACTTAGGAGAGGGAAGCGTTCGGGTTTGGAATCAGCGTGCCCAGCTTCAGAATCCAGGTCCCACACTTTCTCACTGTGTGAATTGGAGCGTGTGTGACAGTTTCCTCCATGAGTGAGTCTGATTGACATGCAGGTACATGCAAGGCAGGAGCCCACCAGCCCAGGACATTAGCCTCCGTCTCACCAAATGACGCCTTGGTCTCCATCCTGCTGCTGCTTGTTATTTTAGCCAGGACTTTTTTTTTTTTTTTTTTTTTTTTTTCCCCAGACAGAGTCTTGCTCTGTCGCCCAGGCTAGAGTGCAATGGCACAATCTCGGCTCACTGCAACCTCTGTCTCCCAGGTTCAAGCGAATCTCCTGCCTCAGCCTCCTGAGTAGCTGGGAATACAGGCACGTGCCACCACGCCCGGTTAATTTTTGTTATTTGTAGTAGCGATAGGGTTTCACCACGTTGGTCAGGCTGGCCTCGAACTCCTGACCTCAGGTGATCTGCCCGCCTCTGCCTCCCAAAGTGCTGGGATGACAGGCGTGAGCTGCCGCAGCCGACCAGAGTGGTGCACATTTTAATCAGTCCAGTAACTAAGCAGGGAAAGAAGTCTCAACAGTTAGATAGCAAAAGTCTCAGGACTGATTCAGATTGGCTCAGCTAGGGTTGCATGCCCACCTCTGACCCAGTGCCACCTGAGCCAGTCACTGAGGCCACAGTCCTCTTACTGGCAGGAGTTCAGTTACTCCAAGAGCTCCAAACCAAAGAGGTTCCCAAGCCTTAGCCTTCTCCCCTTATCCCTATTACCACTTCCCACTGGGAACCAGAAACCCAAATCCTCCAGTCAGGGACTTGAAGAGCCAGTGTTCTGAGCCCTGTTCTGCCATATCTGTTTTTTTTCTTTACAGTTCAGAAGAAATAAACTTAAGCAGGGAGCTGGGCTAGCAGAGGCCGGCCCTGGCCATCGGGAGAGCTCTGACCTGCACACCGCGGGAGGCCAGGGTGCTGACTGTCAAGCATCCCCTGTCCCCAAGTTCCAAAAGCACAGACTCAAAGGGAAACCCCCCAGTCACCCACTGTCAGCCCCCATCTGACAAGAAAGCCTGGAGCGAGGAAGGAAAGCACAGCGAACCCAATGGGTAACGTGGTTTACTCTCCCGGACGCGTCCTGGGATCTCAACCCCAGCAGTCTGGCTTGTTTCTCATTCCCACAATTTCCTGGGTTCCACCAAGCAGCGAAAACTGCCAGGATGAATGAGGAAAAAACCCAGCCCCACAAACGAGACACACGCTGGCGGGGAGAGACGCAGCAGAGCTCCTTCCTGTCTGTGGACTCGGAGCAAAGACGTGGGGCCCCATCTTTTGTGTTTTCCTCAAGCGGGGAAAGAATGGACTGTTTGCATGCTTCGTGCCACACGCCCGCGGTGATCCCAGCCAGGGCCCCGAGCGCAGAGGCGGAGCTGTGCTCAGCACAGGCCTGGGACCTCCCCCGGCAGGCACCTGTGGGGGGTGCAGCTCCCGGGAAGGAGGCAACTGCCTCACTTAACATCCTCCGCTGCAAGGTGGTGGCGCCGAGAGGCGTGTCTGTGAAGACAGGTACCAGGATGGCAGGACCCGCACGCCTCTTCCCACACCTGTCAGCTTCGGAAGCATCTCTCGAGGACTCTGGTCCCAGGATGTCTCCCAGGACAAGCCAGTCTGCCTCTTCCTCCTACTTCTGCTGTAGCCTGGGACCAGACCTGGCCAAGGTCAGCCAGCGGGGAGGGCCGAGGTCTGAGCTCTCGTCCTGCCGTGGCCCCCGCGATGGCCTGGGGTGCAAGCTTGGGGCTCCGTCTGGTGCTGCTTAGGTAGTTTCAGGCTTCCAGCCCAGCCCTATGCTCTGTGCTTGGCCCTGGGCCCCTGGCCATCCACAAACAGCAGAGGCCTTCCCTGGAGGAGGCTTTGGGACCACCCCTGGGGGGACTTCCCAAAGGGTCCCAGGCTGTCAGGGGCGTTTGCGCCACCTGCAAGGGCGTGGGTCAGAGAGTTTTTATGGGGGTCTGTTGTTTGACCGTCCTGAGACCGAGGGAAGGGCTCAGCTGAAGGACCCCGTCTGCAGGAGAGTCGGGGGACCAGGTTTGGGAATACACTTGCATGTACAGAGCCTGGGGCCTGGACGCCACGGCCTCTCATCTTAGGACCTAATGGGACCCCCGAAAGGAGCCAAGTGGGGCCCTCGGCCTCTTCCTTCGTTCCAGGCCCATGATTTTCCCTACACTTCTCCCTGGCCCAGGCTCCAGCCACAGGCACCTCTCCTGCCCCCGCCCACCCTCCTGACCGCAGCTCCCAGGCCCTGGAGACCTCCAGGCTTTCCTGCCCTGGGCAGCCCCACCTCACAGCCAGAGTCAATGCCTTCATGGGAAGGGCTCCCAGCCACACCCAGAGTGGCCCAAAGCTGTTGAAGTCAGCATCCTTTGTCCCATCAGGACCCTCCTGCCTCCTCTCCAGGCCCTTGTTCGCCTCCCCACCCTCCTCAGAGGCCCGGGGAAGGGAAGAGCAGGTCAGTACAGAGGTTCTGTCTACAGGGAGGGGCCCTGGGTCTATGCACAGCTGGAGCTCTGAGCCTTCCACAGCCCGTGTGACTGCTAGAGGGCAGGGGTGCAGGGCTCAGGGGGCCCGGGCTGGTCCTTTGGGGCTGGTGTTCCTACGTCAGTCCCCACCTGGGGAATAAACTCCAGCCTCTCCTGCTCATACAGAAGGGACTGGTTGGGTTTGCTTTATGGGATCTTTGAGACCAAAACAGATGCTCCTGTTTGCTGGGGGAGGGTGTGAGCACGGAGTATTTCTGTCCCTCGTGAAGTCACGTCACACAGGGGAGAGGCGAGGTCGATGGAACTGGCCACGCACAGGCTCTGGCTCTGGAAGGAGGGATGATGAGTGGGCGTTTTCCCGGCAGGCCCCCGGGGTCCTCAGCCTCAGCAACCCAGGGAGAGGACAGAAACGAACCGATGGTTGAGGGATTGTCACGGGAGGAACATGACACCCGAAGGGACTCTAGGTGCCCTCGGAGTGCCACACATGCCCAGACCTTCTCACACCCACACAAATAGGCTCTGCCGTGCACTCCTACACACACACACACACACACACACGCTTGTTCACACTCAGAACCCAGGACAGCCACAGCCACCGCTTAGGGGAAGCCACTGCAGATGCCCCTGGAATGGGCACAGCACAGCCAGGGCGCTCTTCCAGGCAGGCGAGGATAACTTGAGAGTTTCCTAGGGCACCAGGGACAGAGCTCAGAGGCCCCCGAGGTGTGTGTAGGAGGCGGAGGCCCGCAGAGCACAGAGCAGGAGAAGGGCTTGGGCCCTGGAGGAGAAAGCCATTCTGGACACCAGGGGACCTGGACGGAGGGTCCCCACAGCCCGTGCCCCACGCCGCCTGGAGGCCAGAGGGGTCAGTGGCCCTGCTGTCCCGGCTCCATCTTGGTTCTAGCCGCCACCTGCATGAACACAGTGGCCCGGCTTAACGCACTAACCCAGCCTCTCCCTGTGTCCCACAGGGAGTAGCAAGACCCACCCCACACTGCCTTCACCATCTACACCAGTGACGCCGCTGTGTGTCTTAGCATGGAAATAAATAAACCTGAATGTACGTGCTCGCCTCTGGCCTGTGTGTTTGTGCTGCTGGGGTCAAGGGGGTTCCAAACAATCCGGGGGTGAGCAGTCCACTCCGCCTGTGGCCCCAGGGTCAGGCTGAGGCTGCGCACTGGGAACCTGGCACATCGGGGCTCCGTGGCCAACTCAAGGCGTTCCTCTGGGCAAGTCACTTGTCCACTCCGGGACTCAGTTTGTCCAACTGTAAAATAAGTGGTAATGCCAGTCTCATCTCCCTTCAGTCCTTTCTGCATAGATCTCAGGCCTGGAGAGAAGAGGGCAGGCAAGAGTTCGAGACCAGCCTGCAACATGAGGAGACTCTGTCTCTAGAAAACATTTAAAAATCAGCCAGGCGTGGTGCTGCACGCCTGAGGTCCCAGCTACTCAGGAAGCTGAGGTGGGAAGATCACTTGAGTCAGAGAAGTTGGAGCTGCAGTGAGCTGAGCCATGTTCCTGCTCCTGGCTCCCAGACCTCCTGGGACAGTCCCTAGACCACCAGGTTCCCCACCCTGCTGGCCTCACTACTGGGACACTCACTGCCACCCCCAACAACCAACTCTCTGCCTTCCTAGAGCGTTTTCTTTAGGTCGGAGTCACATGGTCCAGGAAGCCTGCCCTAAGTGTCTGCGTCCCCAGGGTTCAGTACAGAGCCTGGCACGTAGCAGGTGCTGAGGACAAGTCTGTAGAAGGAGGGAGGGAGGGGCCCCAGCAACCAGGAGCCTCCCAGGTTGCAGGATCCCTGTGAGCGGAAGCTCCTTCCATCCAGACTGGAGGCCACGGCGCCGCTTCCTGTGTGCCAGGCGCGGGGCTCCCTGCTCCGCTGGAATTACCTCATTTAATCCTCACAACACTTCCACGAGGGATCCTCCCATTTTCCTGGGAAGAAATAAAACTCAGGCGATCCAGGGGCTTAGCCAAGGTCATACAGTCAGGAGCCAGTAGAGCAGGACAGTCCTTGAGAAGCGTGCCTCGGTGACAGGGGCCTCTCCAGACCATAAAAGCCTGCGGGCTCTGCCAAGGGAGCTGACTGTTTCCACACCCTGTAACTGCTCCCAGCACTTTGGGAGGCTGAGGCGGGCGGATCACCTGAGGCCACCAGTTTGAGACCAGCCTGACCAATATGTTGAAGCTGACAAGCTTCAAAACGAACATTGATTGAACTGAAAAATATGATGTACATGTGTCCTTACACACTTTTGTTTTGTTTTGTTTTTTGAGACAGAGTTTCGCTCTCGTTGTCCAGGCTGGAGTGCAGTGGCGTGATCTCGGCTCACTGCAACCTCTGCCTTCCCAGGTTCAAGCGATTCTCCTGCCTCAGCCTCCCAAGTAGCTGGGATTATAGGTGCCCGCCACCACACCGGCTAATTTTTGTCATTTTAGAGATGGGGTTTCACCATATTGGCCAGGCTGGTCTCAAACTCCTGACCTCAGGTGGTCCACCTGCCTCGGCCTCCCAAAGTGCTGGGATTACAGGCATGAGCCACGGCGCCCAGCCACCTGGAGGTGATTATTAAGGTGAAATGCCACCAGTGTAACGTCAGCAACAGCCACACTCAGGTGAGCCGGACCCTTCTACACACCCTCTGTCAGCGACAGCCAGGCCCCTTTACAGCAGGCATCGGGGGCCTGAAAGTCCACGCCCCTTCACAGCAGGCATCGGGGCCTGGCATCGGGGCCTGGAAGTTTCTTTGGGATCATTTGTCGGACACCAATTTCAGAAGTTTAAAAGCAGGTTGGGAGGAGGGCACGTGTTTTGCAATCAGTAAACGAGGAAAGGGGGGTCTCACCGTGCGGAGGCTTCGATGACAGACGTGCTTCTGGGACCCGGGGCTCTGGCGCCCTGTCGGTAAACAGGTCCATGATCTCTGCAGGCCCATGGGCTGTGGGAGGCCCGACAGAGAGCTGGACACACAGAAGGCCGCGTCCTGGGGCTCAGCAGGCAGCTCCTCCCATCCCACAATCTGGGAGGCTCTGGGCACCCCAGGCTGACCGCGACATTCTGATCTCCTCCAGCCCCAGGCCTACCTCGCCTCCTTCCCGTTCCTTGATGCAAAAGAGGAGACGGCCCCCTGTGTCCAGGAACCAGGAGCACCTGGCCCCGTCCCAGGCCTTTCAGGCATTGGCTGTGTGACCTCCGGCAGCCCACGGCCTCCCTCTGAACCTCAGTCTCCCTGTGTAAAGGAGGGACTCAGTCTGGAGCAGGCTTTTCAGGCCTGGCCACACTGGAATCACCTGAGATGTTTAAAAAATCCTACTACCGGCCAGGCACAGTGGCTCACACCTGCAATGCCAGCACTTTGGGAGGCCGAGGCGAGCGGATGGTCAGGGGTTCGAGATTAGCCTGGCCAACATGGCAAAACCCCGTCTTCTACTAAAAATACAAAAATTAGCCGGGCATGGTGGAGGGTACCTGTAATCCCAGCTACTTGGGAGGCTGAGGCAGGAGAATCACTTGAATTCAGGAGGTGGAGGTTGCAGTGAGCTGAGATCGCACCATTATACTCCAGCCTGAGCGACACAGTGAGACTCTGTCTCAAAAAAAAAAAATATTCTACTACCTGGGTGCCACTGCTAGTGAATCTGGCTTAATTGGTCTGGGTGCAGCTTGCACACCAGAGTTTTAAAAGCCTTCCAGGTGATCCCAATGGACACTCAAGCCTGGGCCCCACCGGTCTGGACTCTAGAGGCTTTTGCTACTCAAAGTGTGGTCCCCGGACCATCAGCATGGGCATCACCTGGAGCTGTCAGAAAGCTCAGGCCATACCCTAGCCTTATCAATCAGAATCAGCCCTTTAACAGGATCCTCAGGTGCTTTGTATGCAATTTAAAGTTGGACCAGGCCAGAAGAGTCGCTAGCCCTGTAATCCCAGCACTTTGGGAGGCTGAGGCGGGCAGATCACGAGGTCAGGAGTTCGAAACCAGCCTGGCCAATATGGTGAAACCCCATCTCTACTAAAAATACAAAAATTAGCCAGGCATGGTGGCAGGCGCCTGTAATCCCAGCTACTCAGGAGGCTGAGGCAGGAGAATCACTTGAACCCGGGAGGCAGAGGTTGCAGTGAGCTGAGATCGCACCATTGCACTCCAGCCTGGGTGACAGAGCAAGAGTCTGTCTCAAAAATGAAAGAAAGAAAGAAGGAAAGAAAGTTGGACCAGCTCTGATCAGATGCCTGAGGCAGCTTCCACTCTCAGCGTTCCTTGGGGCCGGCCGGCTTTCCTGCAGTCCCAGAAAGGCAGAGCCACGGAGCTGAGAGGCACTTACAGGCTTGAAACCTGCCAGTGGGGCCTTTATCTCACCTCTAAAAGAATAATCCTCCATCCCTCTGTCTCCCTCCCTCTCTTCCTTTCTTTCTTCATCCTAGAATTTATTGTAACAAACTGAGAACATCTAGGCAATACTGAGAAACCAAGAGAAGGATAAGAGAAACCCCAGATAAGTGTGGAAGGGGGTCTCACAGCAGAAGAGGCCGGCACCCACATCCAGCGTGGTCACAGTGAGGCTGTGGCCCAGGTGGAGAAGACCACCTTTGTGTGGGGGGGAGGAAGTTGGAAGGGCAGGGTGGGCGTGGCCCAAAAGTGCAATTCTGGGGGATGTTGGACCTTCTAGAACCTTCCCAGGGTTGAAGGAGAGCCAAGTGGGTGTCTCAGAGCTGCTTGGATGGAAACTTCTACTCACAACCAAAATCAACACCCTGGGTTCTCCCTGGTCTCCATCCCCAGACTCTAGGCCTGGAGGAAGCAGGAGGGGGCAGGGACCCTGGGAAGCTGTGAGGCCTCTTGCACCCCTGTCCTGGGGCAGGAATTCCTGCTCCCGGAGTTGGCCCAGGTTCATATGCTGCCTTTGTGCTGACTGCAAAGTGGGCCCTCCTATACAGACAAAAACATGAAAACTGCAAACGCCTCCCCTTCCTGGGATGTTTGCGGCTGGACGCCCAGCCTGGTGTGCTGAGGGTAGTTGGATTTCAGAGGTCCTGGGCACTGCCTGAGCAGGGCACAGTCTGCGAGGCCGTCCTGGGCAGACCTGCCCGCTACGCCTTGTTGGGGTCCTTTCCCGGAGGTGGCAGCACAGCCGGTCAGCTGGAAGCGGGGCAGCCAGGGCTTCTGCTCCTGCATTATTGATCTGCTGCCTGGTCGTGGGTATGAATAATTAATCAGAGCGAGGAAGCACAGAAGATTGCGAGCCGAGGTGCAGCCCAGCTCCTCCCCGCCTCGCCCCTCAGGGTTGGCTCCTCTTTGCTTACTGTGCTTCTGTGGGGGAGGCTGTACGGAATCTCAAGCTTCTCCTCCTGCCCACAAGGCAGGCCCAGGAAAGGCCCCACAGCTTTGGAATTGCAACGACCCATGTCATCAGGATGGAGCTGCCTGCAGCCCCTGGACCAGGCTGGCCATCCTCACTGTGCTCCTGGCCATCTGGGACTCAGAGTCAGGCAGCCGGAGTTCAAATGCTGAATCCTTAAACATCTTTTTTTTTTCTTTTTGAGAAAGAGTCTCACTCTATCGCCAGGCTGGAGTGCAGCGGTATGATCTCAGCTCACTGCAACCTCTGCCTCCCAGGTTCAAGCGATTCCCCTGCTTCAACCTCCCGAGTAGCTGGGACTACAGGCTTCTGCACCACACCCGGCTAATTTTTTTTTTTTGTATTTTTACTAGAGACGGGGTTTCACCATGTTGGCCAGGCTGGTCTCAAACTCCTAACCTCAAGTGATCCACCCGCCTCAGCCTCCCTAAGTGCTGGGATTACAGGCCTGAGCCAGGGTGTCCGGCCCTTGAACTTCTTTGCGCCTCCACCTCTTCATGGGTCGAATGGAAACAGTGTATCAGGTGGATCGTGTTTATGGTGAGAAGAAGCCGGCCTGGTCCTGACTGCAGCATGAGTTCCATAAACACAAGTTGATGCTGTCGCTGATATTGTTTATAGTAAATGGCTTCTTTCACTGCTGCCAAGGTCTTGGGAAGGGGAGATTGGTGGGTAACTGACGGGCCTGCTTAGGGTGGAGGTGGTCAGAACTTCAGGGGAGAGGGTGCGGGCCAGGGTGGGTGATGCCCTATCTGGGGTATCTCTGGGTGGGGCCGCCAGGGAGGGGTAGGAGTGGAGGTAGGAAGATAATCAAAACAATTATCCAGAATTACTGGGCACGGTGGCTCACACCTGTCATCCCAGCACTTTGGGAGGCCAAGGTGGGCAGATCAGAAGGTGAAGAGATGGAGACCAGCCTGGCCAACATGGTGAAATGCCGTCTCTACTAAAAATACAAAATTAGCCAGGCATGGTGGCGCGTGCCTGTAATCCCAGCTACTCGGGAGGCTGAGGCAGGAGAATCACTTGAATCTGGGAGGCAGAGGTTGCAGTGAGCAGAGATCAGAGATTGCACCACTGCACTCCAGCCTGGGCAACAGAGCAGGGCTCTGTCTCAATTAAAAAAAAAAAAAGAAAAGAAAAGAAAGAAAGAAAAATGTGACTGGTTGTGACCAATTCATTGTAAACACCATTGCACTCGGACCAACAGGTCCCCTTTAAAGAGCTTTCCAGGAGTTCCTGTCCAGTGACTTTGCTTTATATTCTTGGACCACGACTGTGCCATACAACCACCACTAGCTGCAGAGGAGGCTGGGAAATTCCTTCCTTTCAGCGGAGCACACGGATGCCCCAAGGCAAACCGCGGTTCTGTTAGGAAAAGAATGGATACTGCGGAGCAGCCAGTGTTTCAACTAGATGTGCACTATCAAGGTATCAGCAAATTAAGAATAAGGTATCCAGGAGGCTGAGGCAGGAGAATGGCATGAACCCGGGAGGCAGAGCTTGCAGTGAGCCGAGATTGCACCACTGCACTCCAACCTGGGCGACAGAGCAAGACTCTGTCTCAAAAAAAAAAAAGTGTCAAGTTATAGTTTGTTTACTGAATGAACAGTCGTTGAATGCCTACTATGTAGCAGACACTGTGCTGTGTTTTGGGAACTTTTAGTTTAGTGCCTGGAGAGAATAAAAAATGGATACATCCTTACAATATGTGATACTGATTAGGAATTGTCCTGAAAGTATGTGATGGAGGGAATCAGGGAAGCTCTGCCTGAGGAAGTGACATCTCCACGGAGTTCTGCCGGAGTGGTCCAGGTGTGGAAGGGGTGAAGGTGTCCAGCTGGAGCCAGGCCGATGGCAGGCGTGGGGCAGGGTCAGGAGGGCAAGCGCTGGGCTCATCATGCACAGGGTCAGGGAGGCACCGACTTGGGACCATTCGGTGATTAATCCCTTCCAGCAGGTAGATTAATGACAGTGGTGGGGTTGATTTATTTCTCATTTCCTATGATAAACACCATTAAAAGAAGGAGGCCGGGCCCGGTGGCTCACGCCTGTAATCCCAGCACTTTGGGAGGCCGAGGTGGGCAGATCCAGAGGCCAGGACTTCAAGATCATCCTGGCTAACACGGTGAAACCCCATCTCTACTAAAAATACAAAACATTAGTGGGGCGTAGTGCTGGGCGCCTGTAGTCACAGCTACTCGGGAGGCTGAGGCAGGAGAATGGCGTGAACCCGGGAGGCGGGGCTTGCAGTGAGCTGAGATCTCGCCACTGCACTCCAGCCTGGGCGACAGAGCGAGACTCCGTCTAAAAAAAAAAAAAAAGAAGAAGGAGGAGGAGGAGGCCAGGAATGGTGGCTCATGCCTGTAATCCCAGTGCTTTTGGAGGCTGAGGAGGGAGGATCGCTTGGGCCTGGGAGGAGGAGGTTGCAGTGAGCCATGATTGCACCACTGCACTCCAGCCTGGGCAATGGAGCAAGACCCTGTCCCAAAAAAAGAAAAGAAAAAAAAGAAAAAGAAGGGGAGAAAAGTCAAATAATTAGTATCTAACTTAGAAACAAGCATGGACTCCAATTCAGTCCAGTCATCCAAGCTGTTACTGAAAACTCTCACGACAGAGCGGGCATCAGGGGCGGGCACGGCAGGCAGGAAAAGGATCTCCTGCAGCCTCCAGGAAGGTGTGGGTGGCAACCGTCAGCTGGACGCACAGTGGCCACCTCTACAGGGGACAAGGAGGCAGAGTGACACGTCTCAGCCCTGGAGATGCCAAAAGGGGTTCTCTGGAGAAGGGCTGTGTCATCAGACAGATCAGGAAAACGGAATGACATCGAGCTACACGCTGTCATCAGACAGATCAGGAAAACGGAATGACATCGAGCTACACGCTGTCATCAGACAGATCAGGAAAACGGAATGACATCGAGCTACACGCTGTCATCAGACAGATCAGGAAAACGGAATGACATCGAGCTACACGCTGTCATCAGACAGATCAGGAAAACGGAATGACATCGAGCTACACGCTGTCATCAGACAGATCAGGAAAACGGAATGACATCGAGCTACACGCTGTCATCAGACAGATCAGGGAAACGGAATGACATCGAGCTACACGCTGTCATCAGACAGATCAGGAAAACGGAATGACATCGAGCTACACGCTGTCATCAGACAGATCAGGAAAACGGAATGACATCGAGCTACACGCTGTCATCAGACAGATCAGGAAAACGGAATGACATCGAGCTACACGCTGTCATCAGACAGATCAGGAAAACGGAATGACATCGAGCTACACGCTGTCATCAGACAGATCAGGAAAACGGAATGACATCGAGCTACACGCTGTCATCAGACAGATCAGGAAAACGGAATGACATCGAGCTACACGCTGTCATCAGACAGATCAGGGAAACGGAATGACATCGAGCTACACGCTGTCATCAGACAGATCAGGAAAACGGAATGACATCGAGCTACACGCTGTCATCAGACAGATCAGGAAAACGGAATGACATCGAGCTACACGCTGTCATCAGACAGATCAGGGAAACGGAATGACATCGAGCTACACGCTGTCATCAGACAGATCAGGAAAACGGAATGACATCGAGCTACACGCTGTCATCAGACAGATCAGGAAAACGGAATGACATCGAGCTACACGCTGTCATCAGACAGATCAGGAAAACGGAATGACATCGAGCTACACGCTGTCATCAGACAGATCAGGGAAACGGAATGACATCGAGCTACACGCTGTCATCAGACAGATCAGGAAAACGGAATGACATCGAGCTACACGCTGTCATCAGACAGATCAGGGAAACGGAATGACATCGAGCTACACGCTGTCATCAGACAGATCAGGAAAACGGAATGACATCGAGCTACACGCTGTCATCAGACAGATCAGGAAAACGGAATGACATCGAGCTACACGCTGTCATCAGACAGATCAGGAAAACGGAATGACATCGAGCTACACGCTGTCATCAGACAGATCAGGAAAACGGAATGACATCGAGCTACACGCTGTCATCAGACAGATCAGGAAAACGGAATGACATCGAGCTACACGCTGTCATCAGACAGATCAGGAAAACGGAATGACATCGAGCTACACGCTGTCATCAGACAGATCAGGAAAACGGAATGACATCGAGCTACACGCTGTCATCAGACAGATCAGGAAAACGGAATGACATCGAGCTACACGCTGTCATCAGACAGATCAGGAAAACGGAATGACATCGAGCTACACGCTGTCATCAGACAGATCAGGAAAACGGAATGACATCGAGCTACACGCTGTCATCAGACAGATCAGGAAAACGGAATGACATCGAGCTACACGCTGTCATCAGACAGATCAGGAAAACGGAATGACATCGAGCTACACGCTGTCATCAGACAGATCAGGAAAACGGAATGACATCGAGCTACACGCTGTCATCAGACAGATCAGGAAAACGGAATGACATCGAGCTACACGCTGTCATCAGACAGATCAGGAAAACGGAATGACATCGAGCTACACGCTGTCATCAGACAGATCAGGAAAACGGAATGACATCGAGCTACACGCTGTCATCAGACAGATCAGGAAAACGGAATGACATCGAGCTACACGCTGTCATCAGACAGATCAGGAAAACGGAATGACATCGAGCTACACGCTGTCATCAGACAGATCAGGAAAACGGAATGACATCGAGCTACACGCTGTCATCAGACAGATCAGGGAAACGGAATGACATCGAGCTACACGCTGTCATCAGACAGATCAGGAAAACGGAATGACATCGAGCTACACGCTGTCATCAGACAGATCAGGGAAACGGAATGACATCGAGCTACACGCTGTCATCAGACAGATCAGGAAAACGGAATGACATCGAGCTACACGCTGTCATCAGACAGATCAGGAAAACGGAATGACATCGAGCTACACGCTGTCATCAGACAGATCAGGAAAACGGAATGACATCGAGCTACACGCTGTCATCAGACAGATCAGGAAAACGGAATGACATCGAGCTACACGCTGTCATCAGACAGATCAGGGAAACGGAATGACATCGAGCTACACGCTGTCATCAGACAGATCAGGAAAACGGAATGACATCGAGCTACACGCTGTCATCAGACAGATCAGGAAAACGGAATGACATCGAGCTACACGCTGTCATCAGACAGATCAGGGAAACGGAATGACATCGAGCTACACGCTGTCATCAGACAGATCAGGAAAACGGAATGACATCGAGCTACACGCTGTCATCAGACAGATCAGGAAAACGGAATGACATCGAGCTACACGCTGTCATCAGACAGATCAGGAAAACGGAATGACATCGAGCTACACGCTGTCATCAGACAGATCAGGAAAACGGAATGACATCGAGCTACACGCTGTCATCAGACAGATCAGGAAAACGGAATGACATCGAGCTACACGCTGTCATCAGACAGATCAGGAAAACGGAATGACATCGAGCTACACGCTGTCATCAGACAGATCAGGGAAACGGAATGACATCGAGCTACACGCTGTCATCAGACAGATCAGGAAAACGGAATGACATCGAGCTACACGCTGTCATCAGACAGATCAGGAAAACGGAATGACATCGAGCTACACGCTGTCATCAGACAGATCAGGAAAACGGAATGACATCGAGCTACACGCTGTCATCAGACAGATCAGGGAAACGGAATGACATCGAGCTACACGCTGTCATCAGACAGATCAGGAAAACGGAATGACATCGAGCTACACGCTGTCATCAGACAGATCAGGAAAACGGAATGACATCGAGCTACACGCTGTCATCAGACAGATCAGGAAAACGGAATGACATCGAGCTACACGCTGTCATCAGACAGATCAGGAAAACGGAATGACATCGAGCTACACGCTGTCATCAGACAGATCAGGAAAACGGAATGACATCGAGCTACACGCTGTCATCAGACAGATCAGGAAAACGGAATGACATCGAGCTACACGCTGTCATCAGACAGATCAGGAAAACGGAATGACATCGAGCTACACGCTGTCATCAGACAGATCAGGAAAACGGAATGACATCGAGCTACACGCTGTCATCAGACAGATCAGGAAAACGGAATGACATCGAGCTACACGCTGTCATCAGACAGATCAGGAAAACGGAATGACATCGAGCTACACGCTGTCATCAGACAGATCAGGAAAACGGAATGACATCGAGCTACACGCTGTCATCAGACAGATCAGGAAAACGGAATGACATCGAGCTACACGCTGTCATCAGACAGATCAGGAAAACGGAATGACATCGAGCTACACGCTGTCATCAGACAGTCAGGAAAACCGTGAATTACGTCGAGCTAAACGGAGCATGACAGTAAGATTTCTCAGAGACCTTCATACACCCACGTGCACCATGTACCTCCAAGAAAGGGTGGATTATGCAGTATTTCCTAAATTCGATGGGTTGCCAAGCCCCTTCTTTGAGAAATATTTTCTTGTAAAGCTAAGTTTTAGATTTGCAAACCCAAGTATTTCCGTTATTAAAAACTCTGTATACAAAAAATTATCTGTAAACATCCTTTTAAGACGGCTGGATAATGCATATACATGATAACTTATTTATTTACTTATCCTTTCTCCCATTGTGAGGCATTAAGGTGTCCAGTTTCTCTCTCTCCCATTTTTTTCCTGCCTATAATTTTTGATGTTGTTGTTTTGAGATAGAGTTTCACCCTTGCCCAGGCTGGAGTGCAATGGCGAGATCTTGGCTCACCATAGCCTCCGCCTCCCGGGTTCGAGCGATTCTCCTGCCTCAGCCTCCCAAGTAGGTGGGACTACAGGCATGCACCACCACGCCCGGCTAATTTTTGTATTTTTAGTAGAGACGGGGTTTCACCACGTTGTCCAGGCTGGTCTTGAACTCCTGACCTCAGATGGTCCGCCCGCCTCGGCCTCCCAAAGTGCTGGGATTACAGGCGTGAGCCACTGTGCCCGCTCCCTACCTATAATTTAAACACAGGGTTTAGGCACTGGGGGAGTGAATTCTGAAGGTGCTTCAAAAGCAGCCCTTGCTGTGGAGGCCCCACTGGGTCCACCCACTCCTGAGCCAGGGAGAAGAAGGCAGCCTGGGCTTTGCCTCCTCACTGGGTCAGCTGACTGGGTCGCCATGGCAACCACACAGGCCTGGAAGAGGGAGGGTGCTCCTGGGATGGGGCTAGACGTGGAAGCCCCAGGGCCAGGTGGCTGGGAGCCTGGGACACTGGGGCTGACCAGACCAGATGGCTGGGGGACCCCCTGGGAATGGGGGGCTAAACTGCCTTTGGAAAGTGCCAGATGAACACAGGTCTCAGCCAGAAGCCTCAGACAGAGCCCCTTTCCTTCGTGGTAAGCCATTTGGAGGACCGGTGGCTGTAGCGAGATATCCGGTGAAGAGGCACCACGGATGCTGGAAAATCTGGGTAATGGGATTGAACCTGGATCTAATAATAAGCAAGTGTGATTTGCTCTCACCTGTAAAACCAGACCCCCACAGTCTTCCCAGAACTCATCCATCTGTTGGGGGCTTTGGGAAGTCCCAGCCTCCAATCTGCTCTCTGCCCCAGTAGGAATGCTCTCACCTCCCCAGTGGGAATGCTCTCACCTCCCCAGTGGGAATGCTCTCACCTCGCCAGTGGGAATGCTCTCCCCTCCCCAGTGGGAATGCTCTCACCTCCCCAGTGGGAATGTTCACCTCCCTAGTGGGAATGCTCCCTCCCCAGTGGGAATGCTCTCACCTCTCCAGTGGGAATGCTCTCACCTCTCCAGTGGGAATGCTCTCACCTCCCCAGTGGGAATGTTCCCCTCCCCAGTGGGAATGCTCTCACCTCCCCAGTGGGAATGTTCCCCTCCCCAGTGGGAATGCTCTCACCTCCCCAGTGGGAATGTTCTCACCTCCCCAGTGGGAATGTTCTCACCTCCCCAGTGGGAATGTTCACCTCCCCAGTGGGAATGTTCTCACCTCCCCAGTGGGAATGTTCTCACCTCCCCAGTGGGAATGTTCACCTCCCTAGTGGGAATGCTCCCTCCCCAGTGGGAATGTTCCCCTCCCCAGTGGGAATGCTCTCACCTCCCCAGTGGGAATGTTCTCACCTCCCCAGTGGGAATGTTCACCTCCCCAGTGGGAATGCTCTCACCTCCCCAGTGGGAATGTTCTCATCTCCCCAGTGGGAATGCTCTCACCTCCGCAGTGGGAATGTTCCCTAGTGCAAAGGGCAGATTGGAGGCTGGGTCGCCAGAAGCAGATGAGCCCTCGTTCCTGCCTTCGTATGTGCTGGTGTTTTCAAAGTTTCCCCACTTGTTTTTCACTGGATAGAGGCTTTTCTTCCACAAATTTCTCAATTTGGTTTGAATTTTATGTTCCTCAAGGAAGTGGCAAGAGGGTGCCCTTGTACACAGTTGACTGTCAGGGGAAGGTGTTTCTGGGTGAGAGGAGAGCCTGGTCTTCTTGGGACATTTCCAGGAATGCAGGAGCAAGACTATGGTGCAAGGACCAGGTCCCAGAGGCCCCTGTCTGATGTTGCAACGCTTGCCCTGACTCTCTAGGGCAACCATCATCCGCAAGAACTTTCTGTGCTCCCTGGCCCATGTCAGATTCACTTTGTTTTTTTTTTCCTTCCTCCAAGATGGAGTCTAGCTCTGTTGCCTACGCTGGGGTGCAGTGGTGCGATCTTGGCTCATTGCAACCTCCGCCTCCCGGGTTCAAGCAATTCTCCTGCCTCAGCCTCCTGAGTAGCTGGGATAACAGGCATCTTCCACCACGCCCGGCTAATTTTTGTATTTTTAGTAGAGACGGGGTTTCACCATGTTGGCCAGGATGGTCTCGAACTCCTGACCTCATGGTCTGCCCACCTCGGCCTCCCAAAGTGCTGGGATTACAGGCATGAGCTACCGTGCCCGGCCGAGGTTCACTCTTTAAACTTATTTAAAACAAAACATTATGCTTGCCCTGACTCTCTCGGGCAACCATCCTCCGCAAGAATTTTCTGTGCTCCCCAGCCCATGTGAGATTCACTCTTTTTTTTTTTTTTTTTTTTTTGAGATGGAGTCTCGCTCTGTCACCCAGGCTGGAGTGCAGTGGCACGATCTTGGCTCACTGCAAACTCCGCCTCCCGGGTTCATGCCATTCTCCTGCCTCAGCCTCCCGAATAGCTGGGACTACAGGCACCCACCACTATGCTCGGCTAATTTTTTGTATTTTTAGTAGAGACGGGGTTTCACTGTGTTAGCCAGGATGGTCTGATCTCCTGATGTCGTGATCCACCAGCCTCAGCCTCCCAAAGTGCTGGATACAGGCGTGAAGAGATTCACTCTTTAAACTTATTTAAAACAAAACAGAAACCCCATCTAAGTTCTCTGCACCAAACTGATACCAGCCGTCGCTCATGGCTGGGGGAGTCGCTATGGGACTGGAGGTGAGAAAGGCAGTCTCCAGTTTTTATCCCATATACCTTGTTTCGTTGGAACCTTACACCAAGCATTTATAGATGTATTACCTTTATCATTTATAATTTAATTGAAAAAATAGGAATGTCTGAGGGAGAACAGATGATTCCCTGTAATCCATTAGCTGAAGCAATCAATGTGAAGAGCTGAACATTTTTCTTCCGGGCTTTTAAAAAGAAATTTGTGACATACAGCTATAGTCGCTTTATAATAAAAGGGCTCTAGTAAGTGGCCTTTGCATGGTAGCTGGACTTCGAGGGGCTTTTAAGTAGCAGATCCCTTCTATCTCCCACAAACCTGCCTCCTTAAGATGCATCAGCCTCACCTGACTGAAATGACACCAAAACACCAGGCGGCCTGAGCTGCTGGAGGGGCTGGAAGCCCTGAGAAGCTCCCTCTCCCCGGCCGGGCACGGTGGCTCACGCCTGTAATCCCAGCACTTTGAGAGGCCGAGGCGGGCGGATCATGAGGTCAAGAAATCAAGACCATCCTGGCCAACATGGTGAAACCCCGTCTCTACTAAAAATATAAATATTAGCTGGGTGTGGTGGCACACGCCTGTAGTCCCAGCTATTCGGGAGGCTGAGACAGGGGGATCGCTTGAACCCGGGAGGTGGAGGTTGCAGTGAGCCGAGATCGCGCCATTGCACTCCAGCCTGGTGACAGAGTGAGACTCCATCTCAAAAAAAAAAAGCTTCCTCTCCCTCCAGGACAGAGCTCTCCAGAAAAGCCTCTCCCCCGCTGCCCTCCCCAGGCTCCCGTCTTCCTGACCTTTGCTTTGGATCTGGTTCTTGCTCTTGGCCCTCGCCCTGGAGCTGGATGCTTTGGTCGGGCTCTTGCCTCCAGCGTCTCCTTTGCTATCAGCCTGCCCTCCCATTGCCCCAGTTGGAGGCAGGGCTGCCAGCTCCAGCCTGGCCAGTGGGGAAAATGGATGCGTCTACCTCCTGGTTCCCTGCTGAGGTCAGAGGCCCTTTCCGACCTCCTAAGCCACTCAGGGGGCCCGTGGCTGTACAGGATATCCAGTGAACAGGCACCACGGATGCTGGAAAATCCAGGTAATGGGATTGAACCCGGATCTAAGAACGGGCCAGTGTGATTTGCTCTCACCCTTAAAACCAGACCCCACAGTCTTCCCAGAACTCATCCACCTGTTGGGTCTTTGGGAAGTCCCAGGGCACTGAGGTCTCAGGGTACAGAGGTCCCAGGCTTGGCTCCCTCTGGTTGTTAGCCCGTGCAGACATTCCAGGGTCTACAGACGCTCCCTGGAGAGGGGAACACGAGGTTCCAGGCAGGGCCCGGCTGCCCTCCCAGGGGAACCGAGCTGGAGGAACTCATGTTTTCATCATGGCCCGTGGGAGCCACTCATGGGCTGCTTAAACAGGCAGGAGGTAAACACACACCCCAGGCGACCAAGATCAGCGGCTCCCTGCACAGCGGGTTTAATTATAAGAGCAACATAATAGCGACAGGACAGAAAGGGGGGGAAATGGCAGGGAAAACCTCTCACCAGCCCACAGCCTCCACATTCCCACTGCCTGGCTGTGAACCTTCTCCCTCCTGGGTGACTTTGCCCAGGGGTGTGGAGTGGGTTTTTTCCTTTCTTAATTTCATTCCAATTGCAAAATTAATACAACGTCATTGCAGCAAACTTGGAAAATGCGAAAAGCCTGAAGAAGAAAACAACAATTTCTCTAAGTGGGTTTTTTTTTTTTTTTTGAGACGGAGTCTGGCTCTGTCACCCAGGCTGGAGCGCAGTGGCGCGATCCTGGCTCACTGCAACCTCCACCTCCCGGGTTCAAGTGATTCTCCTGCCTTAGCCTCCCAAGTAGCTGGAATTACAGGCACTCACCACTGGGCCCGGCTAATGTTTATATTTTTAGTAGAGATGGGGTTTCACCATGTTGGCCAGGCTGGTCTCGAACTCCTGGCCTCAAGTGATCCACCCTCCTCGGCCTCCCAAAGTGCTGGGATTACAGGCGTGAGCCGCCGCGCCCGGCCCCTGGGGTTGGTTTGTGCAGAAGCGAGAACCTGCTCAGGAGCTTGCAGCTGGTAAGAGTGGAATTAGAATGGGAACCAGATATAATAATAAAAGCTTCATCTTTTAGAAAAAGATCAAATCAGAAATATGGGTTACATTTGTAAAAGGCTTTCAATTAAAAAGAGGCTGTGAAGCACATCTTGGGAGGCCTAAAAGTCCTTTTCATTTGGATATTGTTTTATCAAAAGCCCTAGTTTGTGCTGATAAGAAAATGGATTTCACAAGATTGAATCTAACAAAAAGCTTTGGCTAGCTGATTAATTAGGTGAGTCACAGGTCTCCTGGGAGTTCAAAGTCAGGAGTTTAAAGACCCTATGAAAACACATAGGAAGCCGGGCTTGGTGGCTCATGCCTGTAATCCCAACACTTTGGGAGGCCAAAAAGGGTGGATCATGAGGTCAGGAGTTCGAGACCACCCTGGCCAACATAGTGAAACCCTGTCTCTACTAAAAATATAAAATTAGCCAGGCATGGTGGTGGGCACCTGTAATTCCAGTTACTCAGGAGGCTGAGGCAGGAAAATCGCTGGAACCCGGGAGGCGGAGGTTGCAATGAGCCGAGATCGCCCCACTGCACTCCAGCCTGGGCAAAAAGAGTGAAACTCCATTAAAAAAAAAAGAAAGAAAGAAAGAAAAAAGAAAAATGTAGTAATAGTTCACCAATCTCTCCATCACTTCAGATAAACTGGGCCAGGCACAGTGGCTCACACCTGTAATCCCAGAACTTTGGGAGGCCGAGGCAGGAGGATCACTTGAGCCTCAGAGTTTGAGACCAGCCTGGGGAACCCAGGGAGATCCCTTCTCTACAAAAAAATGCAAAAAAATATGAGCCAAGCATAGTGGTGCATACCGTAGTCCCAGCTACTTAGGAGTCTGAGGAGGGAGATTCATTTGAGTCCAGGAGTTGGAGGCTGCAGTGAGCCGTGATTGCGCCACTGCACTCCAGCCTGGGTGACAGAGCAAGACCCTGTCTCAAAAAATACATAAAAACATTAAAAGAATAAAAAATAAAGTTCAGACAGGCTAGGCACAGATGAATTAAATCCACAGTAAGTACTGTATTTTTATTTTCACCAAAAATGTCAATCTTATCCTCAGTGCTAATTTTCTGGGGGAAAACCACGAGCTACGCTGTTCTACTCTCAGAAGCTCCATTTTGCTCACATTCAGCTCTTTCTCTTTTTTTTTTTTTTTTTTTTTTGAGACAGATTCTCACTCTGTTGCCCAGGCTGCAGTGCAGTGGCGCGATCACTGCTCACTGCAACCTCCGCCTCCCGGGTTCAAGCGATTCTCCTGTCTCAGCCTCCCAAGTAGCTGGGATTACAGGTGCCCACCACCACACCCAGCTAATTTTTGTATTTTTAGTAGAGACAGGGTTTCACCATATTGTACAAGCTGGTCTCGAACTCCTCTTGACCTCAGGTGATCCACCTCCCTTGGCCTCCCAAAGTGCTGGGATTACAGGCATGAGCCACTGCGCCTGGCCTCAGCTCACATTTATTGAACATCTACTATGTGCCACTTACTTTCACATACATTTCATTTGACCCATGACAACCTATTTTATTTATGTATTTATTTATTGAAATGGAGTTTCGCTTTTCTTGGCCAGGCTGGAGTGCCACGGGTCGATCTAGGCTCACTGCAACCCCCACCTCCCAGAGTCAAGTGATTCTCCTGCCTCAGCCTCCCAAGTAGCTGGGATTACAGGCATGAGCCACCACGCCCCGCTAATTTCTTGTATTTTTAGTATAGACGGGGTTTCGCCAGGTTGGTCAGGCTGGTCTCGAACTCCCGACCTCAGCTGATTGGCCCGCCTCGGCCTCCCAAAGTGCTGGGATTATAGGCATGAGCCGCCTCGCCCAGCCCACCTTTTGGCTATTGTAAATATAATACTGCTGTGAACATGGGCTTGCAAAGATCTTTTTGAGATCCCGCTTTCAATTCTTCTGGGCATATACCCAGAAGCGGAACTGCTGGATCACATGGTAATTCTATTTTTAACTTTTTGAGGACTTGCCTTACTGTTTTCCATAGTGACTGCACTATTGTGCATTCCAACCGACGGTGCACAGGGGTTCTAGTGCCTCAGCATCCTCACCAGCACTTATTTATTTATTTATTTATTTATTTATTTATTTATTTATTTATTGAGATGGAGTCCCACTCTGTCGCCCAGGCTGGAGTGCAGTGGTGCAATCTCAGCTCACTGCAACCTCCTCCTCCCCAGATTCAAGTGATTCCCCTGCCTCAGCCTCCCGAGTAGTTGGCATTACAGCCGTCCGCCACGACGCCTGGCTGATTTTTGTACCTTTAGTAGAGACGGGGTCTCACCATGTTGGCCAGGCTGGTCTTGAACTCCTGACCTCTAGTGATCCGCCTGCTTTGGCCTCCCAAAGTGCTGGGATTATAGGCGTGAGCCACCGCGCCCAGCCAATACTTTTTTTTTTTGGAGACACGATCTTGCTCTGTTTCTTGGGCTGGAGGGCAGTGGCGTGATCACGGGTCACTGCAGCCTCGACCTCCTGGGCTCAAGCAATCCTCCCACCTCAGCCCTCTGAGTCGCTGGGACCACAGGCACATGCCACCACACCTGACTAATTTTTTATTATTTGTAGAGATGTAGAGCCTTCTGTTTCCCAGGCTCAAGTTCCTGGGCTCAAATGATCTGCCCACATTGGCCTCTCAAAGTGCCAGGATTACAGGTGTGAGCCACCATGCCTGGCCTCTGGTTTGTTGTTTGTTTTTTGAGATGGAATCTCGCTCTGTTGCCCAGGCTGGAGTGCAGTGGCGCTATCTTGGCTCACTGCAACTCCGCCTCCCAGGTTCACGCCATTCTCCTGCCTCAGCCTCCCGAGTAGCTAGGCTACAGGTGCCCACCACCATGCCCAGCTAATTTTTTGTAGTTTTAGTAGAGACAGGGTTTCACCATGTTAGCCAGGGAGGTCTCAATTTCCTGACCTCGTGATCCACCCACCTCGGCCTCTCAAAGTGCTGGGATTACAGGTGTGAGCCACCGCACCTGGCCTCTGTTTTGTTTTTTGATGGTAGCCATTCTAACGGGTATGAGTTATAAGCCTACAGTTTTATATCCTCCTGATTGTCCCCAATAACAGGGAGGATAAAAATGGAATGAACATACGGACACTGATCAGACAGGCATCAGGACCTGCCAGTAAAAGACACTGAAATATTGGCAAGACCAAAATAAATGGAGAGAAATATCAAGACATGAACTCAAGATTCAATATTGTAAAGATGTTCATTCTCCTCCAGTTGATCTATATATTTAGTGTAACGCCAATCAAAATCCAGCAAGTTTTTCTTGGAAGCTGACAAAGTGATTCCACAATTTATATAAAAATGCAAAGGACCAGCCAGGCTCAGTGGCTCACTCCTGTAAGCCCAGCACTTTGGAAGGCAGAGGTGGGAGGATCACCTGAGGTCAGGAGTTCCAGACCAGCCTGGCCAAGATGGTGAATCCCCGACTCTACTGAAAACACAAAAATTAGCCAGACATGGTGGTGCATGCCCCTAATCCCAGCTACTCAGGAGGCTGAGGCAGGAGAATTGCTTGAACCCGGGAGGTGGAGGTTGCAGTGAGCCGAGATCACACCACTGCACTCCAGCCTGGGTGACAGAGCGAGACTCTGTCTCGGAAAAGAAAAAAAAAATGCAAAGGATCAAGAATAGCCAAGATAACTTTGAGGATAAAGAACAAATCCGCAGGACCTATTACCAGATATCAGGACTTATTGTAAAGTTATAGTAATTAAAACAGAGTGGTGTTTTCTCCAGGACAGAAAAATAGACCAATGGAGGGCTGGGGGCAGTGGCTCACGCCTGTAATCCCAGCTACTTGGGAGGCTGACGCAGGAGAATGGTGTAAACCCGGGAGACGGAGCTTGCAGTGAGCCGAGATCACACCACTGCACTCCAGCCTGGGCGACAGAGCGAGACTCCGTCTCAAAAAAAAAAAGAAAAGAAAAATAGACCAATGGAAAAGAATGAGAAATCCAGAAGGAGACTCGGGACAACTGCTTCGTTCATGACAAAATTGGTGCGTCAGTACAGTAAAGAAAGGATGAGGCTAGGCGCAGTGGCTCACGCCTGTAATCCCAGCACTTTGGGAGGCTGAGGCGGGCGGATCGGCTGAGGTCAGGGGTTTGAGACCAGCCTGGCCAACATAGTGAAACCGTGTCTCTACTAAAAATACAAAAATTAGCTGGGCATGATGGCACACGTCTGTAGTCCCAGCCACTAGGGAGGCTGAGGCAGGAGAATCGCTTGAACCTGGGAGGCGGAGGTTGCAGTGAGCCAAGATTACACCATTGCTCTCCAGCCTGGGGGGACAAGAGCGAGACTTTGTCTAAAAAAAAAAAAAAAAAAAAAAAAAAAGGATGACCTTCTCATATGGTGCTGGATCAATTGCATATCCATATGGAAAAATGAATCTTGACCCCTGCCTCAAATTATACATCATAATTAGTTGCAGAATATTTATAGTTCTAAATTGAAAAGCAAAATAATACAGCTTCTAGAAAAAAAACGCCGGAGACTATCTTCATGGCACTGGGCGCAGGCAAAGTTTCCTTAACAGGATACAAAACACTACCCACAAAGGAAAAACATGGATACATTGGGTTACATTAAAATTCATAACCTCTATTTATCAAAACCACCATTAAGAAAGTAGAATGATAAAGGCCGGTTGCGGTGGCTCACGCCTGTAATCCCAGCACTTTGGGAGGCCAAGGCGGGCAGATCACCTGAGGTCAGGAATTTGAGACCAGCCTGGCCAACATGGTGAAACCCTGTCTCTACTAAAATACAAAAATTAGCTGGGCTTGGTGGTGGGTGCCTGTAATCCCAGCTGCTCAGGAGGCTGAGGCAGGAGAATCGCTTGAACCCAGGAGGCGGAGGTTGCACGGAGCTGAGATTGTGCCACTGCGCTCCAGCCTGGGTGACAGAGCGAGACTCCGTCTCAAAAAAGAGAGAGAGAGAGAGAGAGCAAGAATGGCCAACAGAGAACAGAATAGTGGTTCTCCACATTTGGCGTGCATCAGAACCGCTGGGAGGCTGGTTAAAATGATGGCTGGGTTCCAGGGTTCCACCTGTGTGTCCACACAGAACATAGCTTACATGTCCCCCACTTAGCTTCTTTTATCATAGTTAAAGATGTGAAAGACCTCTGGAATGTTCTCTCCTCTCCCACATCAGCGAGGGGGAACAAAAGAGGCCCAGTTTCTGGCTATTAGGACAAACCCAAGGATCTCTCTTATGTCAGGTCAGCTGCACCCTGACTTTGCTGATATACTTACGAGCATTTCCTCACATAACCCTGACAATATAATTAGAGCATAATCATGGTGACCATCCTTATCGCCACTTTACAGAGGAGGAATTGACCACCAGCTGGATTAATTGCAAAGTCACGCTGCTGTGCTAAAGCAGAAATGACGTTCAAGCCCTCATCTCTGACTCTGGGTCTGATGCTCCCTCCTCCATAGCCAGCTGCCTCCCACAATGTCAGGCGTGCTGTTCCCTCCTCTCTACCCATCCAGGAGCTACCAAACTCCAGGTCCAAGACCAGCCTGACCAACACAGCAAAACCCCGTCTCTACTAAAAATACCAAAAAAATTGCCAGGCGTGGTGACAGATGCCTGTAATCCCAGTATAACTATAGTAGACGTCCGAGGGCCCCTTTCTCCAGGAAGCAAATATTGTCACCCAAAGCTAGATGTTTTTGCCTGATGTGAATATTCTATTGTTTAGCTACGTGATGTGCTTCTGGATGTTAAAAGCTCAGCTCTGAACGGACTCCTTTAGGCATCAACTGTTTCTGTGGCTAATTGGCTGTCTGGGGAGGTACATGCAGCAGCAGCAGCAGTAATAAAATACTGATCTTTCAGCCAAGCCACTTAGAAAGAGCCGGGATACCCCGTTCCTCCATGAATCAGCTTTTTTTTTTTTCTTTGAGATGGAGTCTTGCTCTTTCGCCCAGGCTGAAGTGCAATGGTGCGATCTCGCTCACTGCAAGCTCTGCCTCCCGGGTTCAAGTGATTCTCCTACATCAGCCTCCGGAGTAGCTGGGACTACAGGCGCCCGCCACCACACCCAGCTAATTTTTGGGGTTTTTTTTGTTGTTGATGTTGTTGTTGTTTGTTTTTTGTTTTGAGACGGAGTCTCGCTCTGTCACCCAGGCTGGAGTGCAGTGGCGCGATCTCAGCTCACTGCAAGCTCTGTCTCCCAGGTTCACGCCATTCTCCTGCCTCAGCCTCCCCAGCAGCTGGGACTACAGGCGCCCGACACCACACCCGGCTAATTTTTTGTATTTTTTGTAGAGACAGGGTTTCACCGTGTTAGCCAGGATGGTCTCGATCTCCTGACCTTGTGTTCCGCCTGCCTCGGCCTCCCAAAGTGCTGGGATTACAGGCGTGAGCCACCGCGCCCGGCCATTTTTTATTATTTTTTATTTTTATTTTATTTTTAGTAGACACCATGTTGGTCAGGCTCAAACTCCTGACTTCAGTTAATCCACCCGCCTCAGCCTGCCAAAGTGCGGGGATCACAGGTGTGAGCCACCGCACCCGGCCGCATCAGCATTTTTGAAACACCTGCTTATGACTTTGGAGGAACCAGATGGGATGTATAGATTCTTTGAGAGCAGTGCCGGTGGCTTGAAGATATTCAGCACCAAGGCCAGTGACCCAAACCCCAAGGAAGTTAAGAAGCCATGGCCGGGCAAGGTGGCTCACGCCTGTAATCCCAGTACATTGCGAGGCCGAGGCGGGCGGATCACCTGAGGTCAGGAGTTCGGAACCAGCCTGACCAACATGGCGAAACTCGTCTCTACTAAAAATACAAAATTAGCCAGGCGTGGTGGCGGGCGCCTGTAATCCCAGCTACTCGGGAGGCTGAGGCAGGAGAATCGCTTGAACCCGGGAGGCGGAGGTTGCAGTGAGCCGAGATCGCACCACTGCACTCCAGCCTGGGCGACAAGAGCGAAACTCCGTCAAAAAAAAAAAAAAAAGCCATAAAGCAGAAGTTCTCAACCCTGGCTGCAGATTGGAAGAGCTTAAACACACACACACACACACACACACACACACACACACACACACACAGTGTCTGGGCTCCACCTTAGTCTAATTGGATCAAAATTGGATCAACAGCACTGGAGAAGTAGATTCTGGCATTGCTACTGCTGTTTTTAAAACCCCGCTTTTGCTGGTGATGCTAACATGTAAAAAGGATTGAGCATGCCTGCAGTAATGAATGGACAAACAGGAGGTGGAGTGTTCCAAAGAATAGGTAGCACTATGGAAACCATAAGACTTTGAGTCTAAAAGGAACCTTGCAAAGGAGGTCATCTGCCTCCTCCGCCCTGCTTCCATGGTCATTTGCCTCCTCCGCCCTGCTTCCCGGTCATCGCCTCCTCCGCCCTGCTTCCGGGGTCATCCGCCTCCTCCGCCCTGTTTCCGGGGTCATCTGCCTCCTCCGCCCTGCTTCCGGGGTCATCGCCTCCTGCTTCCGGGGTCATCGCCTCCTCCGCCCTGCTTCCGGGGTCATCGCCTCCTCCGCCCTGCTTCCGGGGTCATCTGCCTCCTCCGCCCTGTTTCCGGGGTCATCTGCCTCCTCCGCCCTGTTTCCGGGGTCATCCACCTCCTCTACCCTACCTCCATGAAAACTATTCCTGGCGCTCTCTAAAGAGATCAGTGCTACCCTCCACTCCAGGGTCATCTCGCTTGGCCTCTCTACTTTTTATATCCACAAGGTCAAGAAATAGCCCAGACATTCCTCTCAGCCAATTGGAGCACTCGACGGAGCCCAGTTCATAAAACACACACACACACACACACACACACACTCACACACACTCACACACTCAGAAACCACAGGGCTGTAGATATAACGGCAGTCTGGCAGTTGGAGAATGTATCCTGCTTTCAAGATTTTTCAAAAGGAAAATCAAGTGTTGCTTGGTTATTTTAATGGAATAAAAATTGGAAACCACTTTAAAGTTAAACATAGGATGTTGGTTATATTTGAAAAGTTAATTAATCAGGGGTTGGGCATCTGCATAATAAAATTCAATGCAGCCATTACAAAGTATGCTTCATATGAAAGTTTAATGACACGAGAAGCTATGCATGCTGTTACATGAAAAATGGATGTACCATATGATCCCAATTTTGTAAAAAAAAAATGCTTGGAAGTTTTTAGACATTTAAAACAAAAATATGCAGTGTTAACAGCTATTATCATAGAATGTTGGGGAAACAGATAATTTTTATTTTCCTTGTATTTTTATTTTTCTATCTGATCCTTTTTTTTTTTTTTTTTTTTTTGAGACAGAGTCTCGTTCTTGTTGGCTGGAGTGCAATGGCGCGATCTCGGCTCACTGCAATCTCTGCCTCCCGCATTTGAGCAATTCTTCTGCCTCAGCCTCCCAAGTAGGTGGGATCACAGGTGCCTGCCACCAAGCCCGGCTAATTTTTGTATTTTTAGTAGAGACGGGGTTTCACCATGTTGGCCAGGCTGGTCTCAAACTCCTGACCTCAGGTGATCCACCCACCTCGGCCTCCCAAAGTTCTGGGATTAAAGGCGTGCGCTACTGCACCCGGCCTTGATCCATATTTTCTATAATAAACACATATTGATTTTGTCAGAAAAAAATGTAATAAAAATGCTTAGATGCTAGACCAGTGGATTGATCCATGAAAATTTGCCATTTTCAACAGAAGATTGCTGGGAGCTTTGGGCTAAAATAAAATTTCATACCATAATCAAAGACATTCAAATAATAACAATATAGATTCTTTCCTGGAATAAACAACTTCTTTAAGGCAAATGTCCACATTTCCTTGGAGTTAAATATTAATCTGATAGAACTCAGCCTAGGAGATGAAATTTAGTTTATGTGAAATTTTTATGAACTAATAAATGGGCTGGATCAAACAGCAGGACCAGAATAGAGTCACAAAGAGGTGTTACAAGATCAAGCATTTACTGTGAATTCTCCATTGCTTTCTTAAAAGGGTATCAACTTGGATGAGGCACTTACCTACCTAGCGTCTACAGCATAGCACCTACACGCCTAGACAGTGTCCCGGGTGGGAAGCCGTGCTGGAAGCGGAAAGCGGCTGTGAGAAGGGAAATTAGCAAGACCCTTATCCGAGGCGAGCTGGGAGAGCCACTCTTGGGTTCTCTTTGCATAGGTCACCTTCAGCAGGAAGTTTAAAAGCTGGAACCATGTTCAGTTAAATATAAATATCAAGTCGTGCTTGATGGGGTTCCAGAGGAGCCACGGCCCAGACGCCATAGTCGCCAACTGTGCACCACCATAAATGATCGGATATGATCCGATGCACAGGGCTCACGGCTCCATTAATGGTTCAGTGCTCCAATCTCCTACCAGAGTGGAGCTTCTGAAGTGCTCTTGGCTAAACAGAACAGTCTCCATCCATCCATTAAGAAACATGTTTTCAATACTGATGTTTTCAAAGCAACCTATTTCTCTTGTTAAAAACATAATTCAAATAATTTAAAAATGCAGTCTGGGCCGGGCACAGTGGCTCACACTTGAAATCCCAGCACTTTGGGAGGCCGAGGCAGGAGGATCACTTGAGGTCAGGAGTTCGAGACCAGCCTGGCCAACATGGGAAAACCCCATCTCTCCTAAAAATATAAAAATTAGCCTGGCATGGTGGCGCCCGCCTGTAGTCCCAGCTACTCAGGAGGCTGAGGCAAGAGAATCACTTGAACCTGGGAGGCAGAGGTTGCAATGAGCCGAGATTGTGCTACTGTACTCCAGCCTGGGCAAAAGAGTGAGACTCCATCTCAAAAACAAAAAAGAAAACAGGAAGGACCATTTAGGTAGTGTTATGGACTGAATATTTGTGTCCCTCTAAAATTCATATGTGGACGGCTGGGCGCGGTGGCTCACGCCTGTAATCCCAGCACTTTGGGAGGCCGAGGAGGGCGGATCACGAGGTCAGGAGATCAAGACCATCCTGGCTAACACGGTGAAACCCTGTCTCTACTAAAAATACAAAAAATTAGCCGGGCGTCGTGATGGGCACCTGTAGTCCCAGCTACTTGGGAGGCTGAGGCAGGAGAATGGCGTGAACCCGGGAGACGGAGCTTGCAGTGAGCAGAGATCGTACCACTGCACTCCAGCCTGGGCAACAGAGCAAGACTCCGTCTCAAAAAAAAAAAAATTCATATGTGGACATCTGAACCTCCAATGTGATGGTATTAGGATGTGGGGCTTTGAGAGATGATTCGGTCAGGCAGGCAGAGCCTTCATGAATGACATTAGTGGCTGTTTTTGTTTTTTCTTTCTGGAGATGGAGTTTTGCTCTTGTTGCCCAGGCTGGAGTGCAGTGGTGTGATCTTGGCTCACCACAACTTCTGCCTCCTGGGTTCAAGCGATTCTTCTGCCTCAGCCCCCCGAGTAGCTGGGATTACAGGCGCCCGCCACCACACCCGGCTAATTTTGTATTTTTAGTAGAGACAGGGTTTCTCCATGTTGGTCAGGTTGGTCTCAAACTCCCAAACTCAGGTGATCCACCCACCTCGGGCTCCCAAAGTGCTGGGATTATAGGCGTGAGCCACCGCACCTGGCCAAGCTTAGTGACCTTTTAAGAAGAGATATAGGGGGCCTGGCGCGGTGGCTCACGCCTGTAATCCCAGCACTTTGGGAGGCCAAGGTGGGTGGATCATGAGGTCAGGAGATCGAGACCATCCCGACTAACACGGTGAAACCCCGTCTCTACTAAAAATACCAAAAAATTAGCCGGGTGTGGGGTGGGAGCCCATAGTCCCAGCTACTTGGGAGGCTGAGACAGGAGAATGGCCTGAACCCGGGAGACGGAGCTTGCAGTGAGCCGAGATCACGCCACTGCACTCCAGCCTGGGGGATAGAGCAAGACTCCGTCTCAAAAAACAGAGACACGAGGCTTGCTCTGTCTCTCTGTCTCTGCTGTCTGCCAGGTGGGGACGGAGTGTCCATCTGCAAACCAGGACCCTCGGCCGACGCTGGGTCTGCCTGCACCTTCACCTCAGACTTCCCAGCCTCCAGAACGGTGGGAAATATAGGTTGTTCAAACTACCCAGTCTATGGTAATTTGTTATAGTAGCTTAAACTAAGAAAGATAGTTTTTGTCTTTGTTTTCTTTTTAAAGTGTACAATTCTGGCTGGGTGCGGTGGCTCACGCCTGTAATCCCAGTACTTTGGGAGGCCAAGAGGCCGAGGAGGGTGGATCACCTGAGGTCAGGAGTTCGAGACCAGCCTGGCCAACGTGGCAAAACCCCGTCTCTACTAAAAATACAAAAATTAGCTGGGCGTGGTGGTGGGTGCCTGTAGTCCCAACTACTAGGGAGGGTGAGGCAGGAGAATCCCTTGAACCTGGGAGGCGGAGGTTGCAGTGAGCCGAGATCACACCATTGCCCTCCAGCCTGGACGACGGAGTAAGAATCCGTCTCAAAAAGTAAATAAATAAATGGCACAATTCAGTGGCATTGAGTACATTCCCATTTGTGTAACTACCACTTCTACGTGGTTTGAAAACACCTCATGATTCCAAAAGAAATCACCATACCCGTTATGCAGTCCCTCCCATAGGTTTTAAAACAAGGAGGAAGTGGCCTGGCACGGGTCTCTGACCCAGTACCCCACAGAGACAGCCGGAAGGACTCTGAGCCAGTACCCCACAGAGACAGCCGGAAGGACTCTGAGCCAGTACCCCACAGAGACTGCTGGAAGGACTCTGATCCAGTACCCCACAGAGAAACACTGGAAGGACTCTGACCCGGTATCCCACAGAGATAGCCGGAAGGACTCTGACCCTGTACCCCACATAGATAGCCGGAAGGACTCTGAGCCAGTACCCCACAGAGACCGCTGGAAGGACTCTGATCCAGTACCCCACAGAGAAACCCTGGAAGGACTCTGACCCAGTACCCCACAGAGATAGCCAGAAGGACTCTGACCCTGTACCCCACAGAGATAGCTGGAAGGACTCTGAGCCAGTACCCCACAGAGACAGCCAGAAGGACTCTGACCCAGTACCCCACAGAGACCGCTGGAAGGACTCTGATCCAGTATCCCACAGAGAAACACTGGAAGGACTCTGACCCAGTACCCCACAGAGACCACTGGAAGGACTCTGACCCAGTACCCCACAGGGACCACTGGAAGGACTCTGGCCCGGTACCCCACAGAGACTGCTGGAAGGACTCTGACCCAGTACCCCACAGAAACCATGGGAAGGACTCTGACCCAGTACTCCAGAGGGCCCACTGGAAGGACTCTGACCCAGTACCCGACAGAGACCACTGGAAGGACCCTGACCAAGTACACCACAGAGACTGCTGGAAGGACTCTGACCCAGTACCTCAGAGGGCCCACTGGAAGGACTCTAAGCCAGTACCCCACAGAGACCGCTAGAAGGACTCTGACTCGGTACTCCACAGAGATTGCTAGAAGGACTCTGACCCAGTACCCCACAGAGACCACTGGAAGGACTCTGACCCAGTACCCCACAGAGACAGCTGGAAGGACTCTGACCCAGTACCCCACAGTTCTAAGGAAGAGGGTTAGTCCACGGAGCTGCAGAGGTGCCCGCTCCGGCTCTATGGGGTCAGCAGGAGGTGACTCAGGACCACCTCTGAAGATGGGCTTTGGGTCCTGAGCTCATGCACACAAGCAAATTGGTGTTAAAACCCGACAGCGTTTGCTTGTATTCCTTTCCCCAGTCACTCAGCAACCACTTAATGCAGACAGTGTGCCAGATGCTGAGGCCACTGCCCCGGGGTGAGTTATGAGGGGGTCAGCCTCTCCTTCCTTTGCCTTCCCATCCCCACCGAGAGAGGAGAAGCAACTCCGGCATGGGGTGGGAGGGCAGGACGTTGGGAGGCAGAGGGAACTCCATAGAGCTTCCCCGGAGACTAGGGAGTGGTGGGGAGGACAGGCCACTGGTGCCAACCTGTGACTGCTCCCGCCTATGTCCCCTCCCTCACAGTTCCCCTGGGAGTGCCAGCCCCTTGACCGGTGGGATGCGGCCCACCAAAAACCCAGGGCATCCTTAGCAGAGACCTCTCTCAGACACTGGCAGCTTCAAGGGATTACGTGGCTCAGTTGGCAGCATCTCAGGGGGGTCCAGTGTGGATTTGAGTGTTTTCCTCAAATGCCCGGACGGTGAAAGACTCTTGGGAACTCTGCATAACGCAAGAGGCAAAGGGAAGGAGACTCAGTATGACTAAGATTGATTTCACTTTTGGTAGCCCAGTAGGATAGGGGCTCCGAGATGGGTTGAGCCTAATTCAGGAGTGACATGACAGTTTCTGCATAAAGTTCATGCACATGATACAGAGATGAACAGCACATGCCCCCCAGCTCTCCGGGGACTGGCAGTCTAGTGGAAAACTGCCCGGGCCCCCACATTATTTCTTGAGAACATTCTGAGGAATTTTGTACCCTGGTGATCCTTTATTTGATGTTGTCTCTACAAGTTCGCAAAGTTGCTACAGCCCATTGTGCAGATAAAAAAACGAAACTCGAGTAATTTAGTGACTTTCTTATAGCCTAATAGTATCCGATTCAGCTGGGCAAAGTGGCTCACAGCTGTAATCCCGGCACTTTGGGAGGCCAAGGCAGACACATCACCTGAGCTCAGGAGTTCGAGACCAGCCTGGCCAACATGGCGAAACCCCCTCTCTACTAAAAATATAAAAGTGAGCCTGGTGTGGTGGCAGGCACCTGTAATCCCAGCTACTCGGGAGGCTGAGGCAGGGGGAATCGCTTAAACCCGGGAGGCGGAGGTTGCATGCAGTGAGCCGAGATCGCACCAATGCACTCCAGCCTGGATGACAGAGTGAGACTCTGTCTCAAACCAAAAAAAAAGCAAGTACCATTACCTCAGTAAGTGAACACAATTGTATTGGGGTGTGTGTGTGTGTGTGTGTGTGTGTGTGTGTGTGTAAGTTCTGGGGTACCTGTGCAGGAGGTGCAGGTTTGTTACATGGGTAAACATGTGCCATGGTGGTTTGCTGCATAGATCAATCCATCCCCTGGGTATTAAGCCCAGGATCTATTAGTTATTCTTCCGGATGCTCTCCCTCCCCTGCCCCTCTCCCCGACGGGCCCCAGTGTATGCCGTTCCCTGCCATGTCTCCAAGTATTTGGTTAGTGTGTGTGTTTTAAGAGACAGGGTCTTGCTATGTTGGCCAGGCTGGTCTTGAACTCCTGGGCTCAAGTAACCCCTCTGCCTTGGCCTCCCAAAGTGCTGGAATAACAGATATGAGCCGGCCGGGTGCAGTGGCTCATGCCTGTAATCCCAGCACTTTGGGAGGCCAAGGCAGGAGGACCACCTGAAGTCAGGAGTTCAAGACCAGCCTGGCCAACATGGTGAAACCCTGTCTCTACTAAAAATACAAAATTAGCTGGGCGTGGTGGTGCATGCCTGTAATCCCAGCTACTCGGGAGGCTGAGGCAGGAGAATCGCTTGAACCCGGGAGGTGGAGGTTGCAGTGAGCTGAGATCATGCCATTGAACTCCAGCCTGGGCAACAAGAGCAAAACTCCAGGCCGGGTGCGGTGGCTCAGGCCTGTAATCCCAGCACTTTGGGAGGCTGAAGCAGGCAGATCACAAGGTCAGGAGATCGAGACCATCCTGGCTGACACGGTGAAACCCCGTCTCTACTAAAAATACAAAAATTAGCTGGGCGTGGTGGCAGGCACCTGTAGTCCCAACTATTCGGGAGGCTGAGGCAGGAAAATCGCGTGAACCTGGGAGGCAGAGCTTGCAGTGAGCTGAGATCGCGCCACTGCACTCCAGCCTGGGCGACAGAGCAAGACTCTGTCTCAAAAACAAACAAACAAACAAACAAAAACAGGTGTGAGCCACCATGCTGTTGTGTGTTTTGGGTCTAACGTATGAAGCAAAGGGCTGGTCAGACATCTCATGGGTACCACCACACACGGTCACAAACAACAGGGAGCTGCACCGTGTCCTTGAAGAGAGTGATGACAAGTTGTAAGCTGCTGAGGAAGATAAGGAGGCAGCTCTGTGCAGGGTAGGTTGAGAGGGGTTACATGAGAGGCAGGGCACTGGCTCAGAGGTGGCTGCCATGGAGTCAGGTTGAAAACAACGGGGCCCCAGCCAGTAGAGCACGCAACAGAGGATAGAACAGGAAACAGAGAGGACGCAAGGGCGTGTTCCAGGGTGAAAAACACAAACTGCCATATTCATTTAGTAAAAACTTGCCACTTTTGGGGAAACGATTGTTTTTTGTTTTTGTTTTTGTTTTTTGAGATGGAGTCTCGCTCTGTTGCTCAGGGTGGAATGCAGTAGCGTGATCTCAGCTCACTGCAACCTCCGCCTCCCGGGTTCAAACGATTCTCCTGCCTCATCCTCCTGAGTAGCTGGGATTACAGGTGCCCGCCACCACGCCCGGCTAATTTTTGTATTTTTAGTAGAGACAGGGTTTTGCCATGTTGGCCAGGCTGGTCTCCATCTCCTGACCTCAGGTGATCCGCCCACCTCGGCCTCCCAAAGTGCTGGGATTATGGGCGTGAGCCACCGCGCCCGGCCACTAGAAGAGTTTTACTACACGTGTTACGGAGTAATGAAATGGTTCACTCGTTTCAGCATCAAATCATCTTTTCAAAGTAAACTGCATTTCTAACCGCTTCTTCTTGAGGCAATAAAAAACACAGTGCCATCTCATCTTTATTTTGTGCTACTAGAAGATGCTATCCGTTAAAAATGACTGTGTTCCCCAAGAATGTGTTCATATAATTTTGGATGCAATGCAAAATACTTTTTATGGTGGTCTTCTACCAAACACAAAAAGCAGTACCGAACCTGTGAATGCCGCAAGCTACACACACCCTAGGAGAGAGCGCCCCCTTGTGGGAATCAGTCACATCAACAGATTCAGACACACCAACAGCTGGCTCCAACGCGGGGAGCACTCAACAAGTCTTGACCCTTCTGTGTTCTGATTTCAACAGCTTTGATTGATTGATTGATTGACTGACTGAGACGGAGTCTCACTCTGTCCCTCAGGCTGGAGTGCTGTGGTGCGATATCGGTTCACTGCAACGTCCGCTTCCCGGGTTCAAGTGATTCTCCTGCCTCAGCCTCCTGAGTAGCTGGGACTACAGGCGACCCCCCACCAAGCCTGGCTAATTTTTTGAATTTTTAGTAGAGACGGGGTTTCACCGTGTTAGCCAGGCTGGTCTCGAACCCCTGACCTCGTGATCCGCCCGCCTCGGCCTCCCAAAGTGCTGGGATTACAGGTGTGAGCCACCGTGCCCGGCCCTGCAATTCCTTTTCTAATGAAAAAAGTCATTAGGAGAATAAAATGAATTTGCATGGATAAAGCACTTTCTATGAAAACATAAAACATTTGCTACACAAGTCAATGAATTAATAAACATGGAAAACCACATAACACACATATATTCAATAACACCTGCTTTCAAAGGTGGTCACGTTCTTTCAAAAATAGTTCAGTCCTTCCGTTCTTTGCTCCAGACCCACTTTTATATGACCCAGGACAAAACAGAAAATTTAAAAACATTTTTGGCAGAGAATACAAAATCAGATTAAGTGACAGACCATAGTGATACTGAAAATACATAACTTGAGCCACTTCACAGTTTTGAATGAACAGAGTGTGTAATCCTTTTCATTTCCCCCTAAAAATGATATCTATTTAAAATAGATAAATATTAATGCCTCTCTATTTGGGGCCTAACTATTTACTGTTTTTCACCCAAATAACTCAACATTCTGAAACAAACAAACAAAGGATCTTACTTTTCCTTTGTCTATTATCCCTGATATCTTCATTTTCTCCAAGTAGAAGTATTTTCTCCAAGTGGAAGCAATTTAGCATCTGGCACATGGGGTGGGAAAGCTATTGAAATGGAATGTTTTTCCCTCGCAATAGTACATGCAGTCAACCAACCAAAGTCTGAAGAACACTGAAATCGAGCCAACAAGTTTCTTTTTTTTTTTTTTTTTGTTTTTAAGACAGGGTCTCACTTTGTCACCCGGGCTGGAGTGCAGTGGCACAGTCTCGGCTCACTGCAGCCTCCTCAACCTCCCAGGTTCAAGTGATCCTCCTGCCTCAGCCCCACAAGTAGCTGGGACTACGGGCGCCCGCCACCACACCTGACTAATTTTTGGTATTTTTTATAGAGACAGTGTTTCTCCATGTTGCCTAAGTTGGTCTTGACCTCCTGAGCTCAAGCAGCACTTCCCAAAGTGCTGGGATTACAGGCGTGAGCCACCATGCCTGGCCCAAAATACTTAAAATTCAAGTTAGCTGCACAAATACTACAGTAAGACAAAAGAGGCCGGGCGCATTGGCCCGGGGTCACGAGGTCAGGAGTTCAAGACCAGTCTGGCCAATATGGTGAAACCCCATCTCTACTAAAAATACAAAAATTAGCCGGGCATGGTGGCGGGCACCTGTAATCCCAGCTCCTTGGGACGCTGAGACAGGAGAATCGCTTGAACCCGGGAGGTGGAGGTCGCAGTGAGCTGAGATCATGTCATTGCACTCAAACCTGGGCGGCAGAGCAAGACTCCGTCTCAACAACAAAAAAAAAAAGACAAAAGACAGTCGTGCTGTTAAAACGGAAATACTGGGTGACAGGCAGTGCCACTGTGTGAAGCAGAAGCACCAGCAAGGAAAGCAGAATGGTCTCACCAAGAACACACTGGACTCGGGAGACTGATGACCTGATGACCTGGATTTAAATCTATTCCGCATCATTTCACACCCACTTCACCTTCGACAAGCGTCTCAATACTTAATTTTGTAAAATGAGACTGATAATTTCTATCTTAACCAAAAGATTATTATGAAGCCAAAAAACAGATAATACATGAAAAAATACTGTGTAAGTTACTATAGATCTGTTATCCATATACAATGTTACGTGTTATGACTGCACCTCATCTCACTAATCATATTCTGCCTTGTATCATACTAACCTGAGTATCTGCCTTAATTCCCTCGAGCACCGAGATTAGAAACTCGTATGGGGCCATGTTGGTCTTTTTGAGGCAGGAAAATAGGGTCTGGAGTCAGGGAACATAAGGCACATTCACACTTCAGCTATGACAGGAAACATCCCCTCCGTGGGGCGTAAGCCAAGTAAATGACTTTGTAACTTTCCTACCTCCTCTCCTTTCACATACGGCGTACCCCAAGTAGAGGGTATTCAAACTCACAAAAACTCTGCAAGGCGGCCTCTGAGCCCCTGTGCCCGGGCTGCCCCCACACTGTGGAGTGTGCTTTCATTTCCAATAAATCCCTCACTGCTCCCTTGCTTGCTTTGTGCGTTTTGTCCAGTTCCTTGTTCAAGACGCCAAGAACGGCTGGGCACAGGGGCTGTCACCTGTAATCCCAGCACTTTGGGAGACCAAGGCAGGTGGGTCACCTGAGGTCAGGAGTTCGAGACCAGCCTGGACAACATGATGAAACCCTGTCTCTACTAGAAACACAAAATTATCCAGCTGTGGTGGCGGGCACCTGTAATCTCAGCTACTCGGGAGGCTGAGGTGGGAGAATCGCTTGAACCCAGGAGGTGGAGGTTGCAGTGAGCCCAGATTGCGCCACTGCACTCCAGCCTGGGCAACAAGAGTGAAACTCCATCTCAAACAAACAAAAAAAGTGGGCAAAGGACATGAATAGATATTTCTAGAAGAAGATACACAAACAGGCAACACATATGAAAAAAATGCTCAAAATCACTAATCATCAAGGAAATGCAAATTAAATTACCAGAAGGAGAGACCACCTTACTCCTACAAGAATGGTTGTAATTTAAAAGTCAAAAAGCAATAAATGTTGGCTTAGATATGGTGAAAAGAGAACACTTGGCCGGGTGCAGTGGCTCACACCTGTAATCCCCACACGTTGGGAGGCCAAGGTGGGTGGGTCACTTGAGGTGAGGTCAGGAGTTTAAGACCAGCCTAGCTAATCTGGTGAAACCCCATCTCTACTAAAAATAGAAAAATTAGCCAGGTGTGGTGGCACACGCCTGCAGTCGCAGCTACTAGCGAGGCTGAGGCAGGAGAATCTATTGAACCTGGGAGCCGGAGGCTGCAGTGCGCCGAGATCGCGCCACTGCACTCCAGCCTGGGAGACAGCGAGACTCCGTCTCAAAAAAAAAAAAAAAAAAAAAAAAAAAAAAAGAGTTCGAGACCAGTCTGGCCAATATGGTGAAACCCCGTCTCTAATAAAATACAAAAATTAGCCGGGCATGGTGGTGTGCACCTGTAGTCCCAGCTACTCAGGAGGCTGAGGCAGGTGATCCACCCGCCTTGAGCACCCATGTCCAGCCCAGAAAAACAAATTTTAAAAAGAATCAGGGCCAGGCACAGTGGCTTGTGCCTGTAATCTCAACACTTTGGGAGACTGAGGCGGGAGGATCGTTTCAGCCCAGGAGTTCGAGACTAGCCTGGGAGAAACTCCATCTCAACGTGGAGAAACTCCGTCTCTACAAAAAATACAAAAATTAGCTGGGCCTGGTGGCACGCATGTAGTCCCAGCTACTCGAGAGGCTGACGTGGGAGGATCACTTTAACCGGGGAGGCAGAGGTTGCAGGAGCTGAGATTGTGCCACTGCACTCCAGCCTGAATAACAGCGTGAGAATCCGCCTCAAAACAAAGAAACAAAAACCACACACACACACACACACACAAGTTGTACTAGTGGTTCCAGCCAGTGCAAGTGGGCAAGATAAACGCATAAAAGAATTAAAACTGTATAGATTCATAGACATGATTATGTAGAAAACCTGAAGGAATTTACAAGCAAAAGAAAGCAGCCCACTAGAACTAATACGTCCGTTTAGCAGGGTTGCAGACTAAAATATTAATAGACAAAAATAAATTATATTTCTTTAAAGTAGCAACGAGCAATCAAAAGAAAGCTTTGAAATGTAAAAAGCAAGCATTTGCAGTCCCATCAAACATTATTAAATGCTCAGGGGAAGATGTGAGACAATCATTGACAGACCTGTACACACTGAACAGCACAAAACATTACTTAAGTTAAAGAAGGCCCAAACAGGCCGGGCGCGGTGGCTCACGCCTGTAATCCCAGCACTTTGGGAGGCCGAGGCGGGCGGATCACGAGGTCAGGAGATCGAGACCAACCTGGCTAACGCGGTGAAACCCCATCTGTACTAAAAATAGAAAAAATTAGCCGGGCGTGGTGGTGCGCTCCTGTAGTCCCAGCTACTTGGGAGGCTGAGGCAGGAAAATCGCTTGAACCCAGGAGGCGGAGGTTGCAGTGAGCCGAGATCGCACCACTGCACTCCAGGCTGGGCAACAGAGCGAGATTCCGTCTCAAAAAAAAAAAAAAAAAAGAAAAAGAAAATATAGAGATGGCAAATGGCACATAACAAGATGGTCAATATCAATTCCTAGTCACTAGAAAATAGGCATTAAAAGTGCAAGATACCACCATAAACCTATCGGAGAGGCAAGATGTCAATGCCGGACTATGCTGAGTGCTGGAGATGATGTGGAGGAATGGGAGCGTTCATATGCACTGGTGAAAACGTCAAATGGTACCACCTTGTAAAACTACTGGATAGTTTCCAAAAAAGTTAAATATACTCCTGCCATGCCATCCAACCATTCCGCCATTTATCCACAAGAAAGGAACGACATGCCCATATAAAGACTTATACGCAAACACTTACAGGTGCTTTATTTGTCATGGACAAAAACTGGAAACACCCAAATGTCCATCAAATAGGTGAATAAACAAATTGAGGTATATCAAACAATGGAATACGTCTCAGCAATAAAAGGAATGAAAGGAATAAAAGGAATAAACTACTGATACGCACAGCTTGCAGTGAGCCGAGATCACGCCACTGCACTCCAGCCTGGGAGACAGGGTGAGATTCCATCTCAAAAAAAAAAAAAATGTTAATAGCTCCCCAGATCGATTTATAGATTTAATAAAATCATAAGCAAAATCCCAGCAGGTTTCTGTTGTTGCTGGTCTGTTACTGAAATCGACAAACTGATTCTTAAATGTATGCGGAAATGCAAAAACCAATAAAATCTTGAACAGCAAACCTGGAGGCCTCACGTTACCGAATATTGAATTATTTTAAATCTAGTGTGGCACTGGCATTAGGACAAATAGACCGATGAGGAAATACATTGTGCTAGGACCATTGGATCTCTATATGGAAAAAATTTTAACCATCTCCCTCATACCATGCACGAAATAGATTCTAGATGATTCTACATCTAGCCATGACAGGCAAACCATTCCTAGAAAATAACATAAAAGATTCATGACCTGGCCGGGCGTGGTGGCTCACGCCTGTAATCCCAGCACTTTGGGAGGCCAAGGCAGGCAGATCACCTAAGGTCAGGAGTTCGAGACCAGCCTGGCCAACATGATGAAACCCTGTCTCTACTAAAAATACAAAATTAGCCAGGCGTGGTGGTGCATGCCTGTAATCCCAGCTACTCAGGAGGCTGAGGCAGGAGAATCGCTTGAACCTGGGAGGTAGAGGTTGCGGTGAGCCGAGATCTTGCCATTGCACTCCAGCCTAGGCAACGAGAGCGAAACTCCGTCTCAAAAAAAAAAAAAAAAAAATTAGCCTGGCGTGGTGGAGCGCACCTGTAATCCCAGCTACTTGGGAGGCTGAGGCAGGAGAATCGCTTGAACCTGAGAGGTGGAGGTTACAGTGAGCCAAGATGGCGCCACTGCCCTCCAGCCTGGGCATAAGATTGAGACTCCGTCTCAAAAAAAAAAAAAAGATTTATGATCTTAGAATAGACAAGTATTTTTTAAATAGGACATAGAAAGTGCTTACCTTAAAGGAAAAGATGGATAAACTGGACTGTATTAAAATTAAGGGCTTCTGTTCCTCAAAAGACATCATTAAGAGAATGAAAAAGCAAGGCACGGCATGGAAGAAGACAGTAACAAAAACAACTCCAAAAACATACTAAATAAAGACGCTTAGAAATCGGTATCAAAACGACATCCCAACAGAAAACCGGGCAAAAAGTGTGCATGTAACAACAGAGATATCCAAATGTTCAATATATTACAAAGTGCTTAACCTCATTAGTAATCAGAGAAATGCAAACTCAAGCCAGAATTAAACCTCCTACATACCCACCTACATACCCACCAGCATCACTGTAACTAAACAATGATCAGGCTGATATAGTGGCTCATGCCTGTAATCTCAGTGCTCAGAGAGGCTGAGGCTGGAGGATCGCCTGAGACCAGGAGTTCCTGACCAGCCTGGGCCATGTAGTGAGACTCCATCTCTACCAAAAAATAATAATAAATAAATTAAATTACCCAGGCATGGTGACACACACTTACAGTCCTAGCTACTCAAGAGGCTGAGGTGGGGCTGGTGGCTCACGCCTGTAATCCCAGCACTTTGGGAGGCCAAGGCAAAGTTGGGAGGCAAGATGAACTGAGGTCAGCAGTTCGAGACCAGCCTGGCCATCATGGCCAACCCCGTCTCTCCTAAAACACAAAATTAGCCAGGTGTGGTGGTGGGCGCCTGTAATCCCAGCTACTCGGGAGGCTGAGGCAGGAGAATCACTTCAACCCGGGAGGCAGAGGTTGCAGTGAGCTGAGATCGCGCCACTACACTCCAGCCTGGGCAACAAGAGTGAAACTCCATCTCGAAAAAAAAAAAAAAAAAGAGGCTGAGATGGGAGGATCATTTGAGCCCAGGAGTTTAAGAATGCAATGAACTATTACCATGCTACTGCATGCTCACCAGAGTGATAGAGTGAGACCCTGTCTCTCTAGGAAAAAAAAAAAAAGTGATCTTATCCAACGTCAGTGAGGATGTGGAGTAGCTGGAACTCTCAAACCCAGCTGATAGGACTGTAAAATAGTACAACTCATTTAAAAAACTTTTATAGTTTATCTACTGTTCATCTCTAATGACCCAGTTAATTACTTATAAATGCACACATGTATATGCCAAAATACATGTCCAAGAATATTCGTAACATTATTTGTAACATCCAAAACATGAAAATACTCCAATGTCCATCCACAGAACAGTGGTATACAATTGCCACAGAATACTACATAGCTATGAAAACACGCTATTATCACAATGACATGGATTCATACCACAAACACGCTGACAGATAAAACTCCAGAAAATACTGTATGATTCCATTTCTATCAAATTCAGAAACTACCAAGACTAACTGAAGTTGATAAAACACTAGTTTCCATTTTGGGGGTAAGAGAGTAAACACTGGGAGGGGGTCATAACGGGGTCTTATAGGATGCTGGTCCTGTTCTATTTCTTGATGTGGGCGGTGGTTAAATGGTGCATTCCCTTTGTGAAAATGCATGAAGCTATACACCTTTGGTTTGGTTTATGTTTCTACGTTACACTTGAGTAAAAGTTTACTTTAAAAATACAGGAACAGCATACAAGAACACTTCCAGGCCGGGCGCGGCGGCTCACGCCTGTAATCCCAGCACTTTGGGAGGCTGAGGTGGACGGATTGCTTAAACCCAGGAGTTCGAGACCAGCCTGGGAAACATGGTGAAACTCCATCTCCACAAAAAATACAAAAATTAGCCAAACGCGGTGGTGCACGCCTGTGGTGCTAGCGACTCGGGAGGCTGAAGCAGGAGGATCCCTGGAGCCCAGGATGCTGAGGTCAGTGAGCCATGATCGTGCCACTGCATTGCAGCCTGGGCGATAGAGCAAGACCCTGTCTCACATAAAAATGAAAAAATAACTTTCTGTCTCCCCTTATACACAGCAGGCCGGCTACCTCCAGTCCAGCACAGTGAACTGGTGCTACAAGGGCCAACCCAGGCTCTGCCCCAAAGCAGGAGCTGAGACCGTTTCCTAGAAGGCAGGCCCACTGGAAATGTCTCCACCAAAAGCAGCTACAAACGAATATGACCTTCAGGTATTAAGGCTTTGGTTCTCTAGAAAACTGTCACGGCACTGAGGTAACTTGACAACCCATAATCGCTGTTCTCCATGTAAACTGTGGCTCTATTTGTCCAAGGTGAAGTATCGTAAATTGAAATGAAGTACTCAATTGTAAATTTTTTTTTTAAATTTCCAAATTAAGCTAAATTAAAAAAACAAAAATTGCCAAAACCTTAACCTACAAAATAAACTTTTTGGACAGTAGCCACCTGAGCTCTAAATAATTGTATCATTTATATTTCAAATCTAATACACTGGTGAATATGCGTATTGCAGCTTTTCCAAGACACGTATTAATCATGAAACATGTACTGACCTCGAAAATGTGGCCGCGCGCGGTAGCTCACACCTGTAATCCCAGCACTTTGGGAGGCCGAGGCAGGCGGATCACGAGGTCAGGAGATCGAGACCATCCTGGCTAACACGGTGAAACCCGGTCTCTACTAAAAATACAAAAAATTAGCCGGGCCTGGTGGCGGGCGCCTGTAGTCTCAGCTACTCTGGAGGCTGAGGCAGGACAATGGTGTGAACCCGGGAGGCGGAGCTTGCAGTGAGCCGAGGTTGCACCACTGCACTCCAGCCTGGGTGACAGAGAGAGACTCTGTCTCCAAAAAAAAAAAAAAAAAAAAAAGTTTAAATACTTTAAATGATCACTTTAGAATATATTAATAAGGGGGAATATAGTATTTCAAGAAAATAGTTTTAATGAAGAGCAAAAGGTAGTATGGCCTAATGAGACTCTTCAGTGACACAGATGAACTGAATTCTGTATTTGAATTATTAGCCATGCAGCTTTCAGCAAGTTCCTTAACTACTTCCCATTCAGCTTTTCCCATCTGCACAATGCAGGCTCACCTGATTATTATTGAGCGCTTACGTGTGAGATTCCAGACATTGCTTAGTAACGAGCACAGTGCCTGGTGCAAAGCTGGTACGCAATGTTAGCAAAACTATTATTATTTTTTTTTTGAGACAAGAATCTCGCTCTGTCGCTCAGGCTGGAGTGCAGTGCTGCGATCTCGGCTCACTGCAAGCTCCGCCTCCCGGGTTCACGCCATTCTCCGGCCTCAGCCTCCCGAGTAGCTGGGACTACAGGCGCCCGCCACCACACCCGGCTAATTTTTTGTATTTTTTAGTAGAGACGGGATTTCACCGTGTCAGCCAGGATGGTCTCGATCTCCTGACCTCGTGATCCGCCCACGTCGGCCTCCCAAAGTGCTGGGATTACAGGCGTGAGCCACCGCGCCCGGCCAATGTTAGCTAAATATTAACAGTATCTATTACAATCCTACGAACTCAAAGAAACAGGATAAAACAACACAGGGCTTGGTTTTCCTGATCCAGGTTGGATCTGGGAGCATTCCCATTTCCTCTCACAGTGCTCACAAAGGCTTCCTTTAATGACACACTCTAGGATTTCACCAGTTTTCCATGAACTATTACTTGTTACAATTTTCAAAAGAACACAGGGGTCACACCTTTATCCCGCTTTTTCAGCAAGCCTCACTCTCCTCTATTGTCCTAGGATCAGGAAGCAGCTAATTTGGGGTCTCATTTATAAGGCTCAAGGCATTTGTCTGGGACAGAAGCCAATTAATGTCTCCATTTATCCCACCAGTTTCCCCTTTCAGTGATGGAAGTTCATCCCCATCTTCCTATAGGACCGAAATTTAACTTTGCAGACGTGCTGTTCTGAGGACCCACCCGGAACAGAGCATGTACACAAACCCACTTACTGTCGCTTCTAACATTGTAGGAAGCCTTTGGGTTTTCCAAGGCAGCAAAGTACTGAGATTTGTAATTAAAAACACATATTAGCTACATTCAAGTTGTAACTAACTAAAAACTTCTACTTAAGTCGACTGATCCTCAAAGTAAGACTCAAATCAAAACCAGAAAAGTTTGGGGGCAATTCCCTTTCCAGCCCACAAATACAGGAACTGGGAGTGACACCGTCCTCACAGGGCTACGGCACCTTTCTGCAGCTTCCCTGGCTCCCTTTCAATTTTTTTTTTTTTTTTTTTTTTTTGAGACGGAGTTCTGCTCTTATTGCCCAGATTAGAGTGCAGTGGCGCGATCTTGGCTCACTGCAAGCTCCGCCTTCCAGTTTCCAGCGATTGTCCTGCCTCAGGCCTCCCAAGTCACTGGATGTTAATTACACCCAGCAAGGTCGCCCGCCACCACGCCTGGCTAATTTTTTTGTATTTTTAGTAGAGACAGGGTTTCCCCATGTTGTCCAGGCTGGTCTCTTAACTGCTGACCTCGTGATCCACCCACCACGGCCTCCGAAAGTGCTGGGATTACAGGCGTGAGCCACCGCACCCGGCCTTTCAATTTTTGATAAGGATCTTTCCTTTTTTTTTTTTTTGAGACAGTCTCACTCTGTCGCCCAGGCTGGAGTGCAGTAGCGTGATCTCGGCTCACTGCAACCTCTGCCTCCCGGGTTCAAGCGATTCTCCTGCCTCAGCCTCCCGAGTAGCTGGGAGTACAGGCGTGCGCCACCATGCCTGGCTAATTTTTTGTACTTTTAGTAGAGACGGAGTTTCACCGTGTTAGCCAGGATGGTCTCAATCTCCTGACCTCGTGATCCGCCCGCCTCGGCCTCTCAAATTGCAGGGATTACAGGTGTGAGCCACCGCACCCAGCCGAGTGGTTTCTTTAAACTCTGCAACAGACTTGACGAATTCCTTGGATTTTGACCTTTAAGTGTAGCAGGTGTGCTGGAAACAGAGCAAATCAACTTGAAAGCTTCTTGGAGGTTGCTCCAAACAGCAGCATATAATTATATTCAATGGTCTCCCTATCTCTCGGAAAAGCAACTCACAAAAACATGTTTATTCTCATTGCCAGCACTCACTAAACGCTACTAGGATATCGCTGATCTGTTCATTTCCTAAATCTCTGCTACTAACACTTTAAACCGAGAGTAAACTTGCAGTCTCAACATCCAATTTTAGAAGACAAGTGTGACGAGGAAGGATTTATCAACTGAAAAATGTTTACTGACACAGGGAATCTAGAAATGTACCTTCCAGATACATACAAATATTTAAGCAAAAACTGTTCCAAGGGTATTTCCTGCAGCACCTGCCCAAAAGGAGCAAACTGGTCTTAACAAAATCAGGTGTACATCAATGTTACGCAGTCAGAATGAGACACATCTGAATGCCTAACATAAAAAGATCTACAGTAACTAGGTATCTATACACATTGATGTATAAACTGTTTATGGAAAGAAGCTTCTTATACAGTGTTTCTGGAAAGGGAGACTGCTATCCTGCTGTCTATAATGTGTGTATGGATTACTAAGAAAGGATTGAGTAATTCTCCACTACTGCCACTAGCCTCTGGAGGAAGAGGGCACACAGTTTTTACCTCTAAGAATTATTATAAGACATTCAGCCTTATTTGGTTGTATGAAATACTATGCTAGAAAATGATCCATAATTACACCTTGTACTACTCATGTTGTACTTTAATGATTAAAATAAATACCATGTTGCTGCCTGGTCTGGAGGACAAGACACACCATCAACTGACTCAGTGTTCTTCACAACCAGACTACAGGCAATTTTTTTCCAAAACATACATCTTTGGGAAGCAAACAAATTATTTATGGAAGAAAAAAGGAGGAATGTTTCACATTCAGGCAAACATAATACTGTCAGTGTGTTTGGACTAGAGATTTTATTTTAGAAGTATAAAGGATGGAGGCGCGATATTTGGCATTTTTAATTTAGGTTTGTTTTATTTAAGTTTAATGTTAATTCCATGCTGTGTTTCAGTAAGAACAATACAGATTCTGTATCTGTGGCTCCAGTCAGATATCCAGTAGTACAAATTAGCTTCAAGTTACACATACTGAACAAAAGAGGTTGAGCGAGCGAAGGAGGGGAGGAGTGAGGGGAAGGAGGTAGGGGGAGGGGGAAGGAGAAGAAACAAAAGAATTGAACAGGCATGCAGGCTTTTCCATACCACCTTCAACGCTAACCTGCTTCAGTGGGAGAGTAAAGTAGGCAAGAATGAGCAGCCACGGATTGTTGAACTGTTACCAGCACCATGCTTTTCAGCAACATTTCAGCGGAGTTGGAAACATTTTTTACAGCAAAACCATTACAACGAAGTCCCTCCCCAAACCACCTTTAACCATCTCAAGCTAACACCCAATTACTTGCAAACACTGGTATAAAACACAGTTTAAACAATTAGAAAAATGAAAACTGATACCACTTATGCCTCTATAGTGTGATTAACCTCTCTCTTAGATGCTTGCATCACCTATAAGTCTAATGGCTTTCAAATGTAATTTCCATTTGCTAATGGTGATCTTGCCACATCTGGCACGGAGACGACACAGTAATGCTGAAAAAGCCTCTATGTAGTCCTGTTAGTGTCTTAAAGAACCTAAAAGCTGGGACCAGTAAAATCCACAGAAATTCACTCTTGCCTTTAAGAACTTTTGAAAACTGTTTAAAAAAAAAAAAAAAAAACCAACAGGGCAGGAACCTAAATTCTGAGACCAAATGTAAAAGTCAGATTTGGTGGTTCTCAGTGACAATGGGGAGTTTCCAAAGGGTGGGATGGGGAGGAGGGGGTGGTCAGAGATGGTTTCTCTTGTTGGCTTATGTCTCACTGATTTTCGTCTTCCACGTCCTGCAGCGCTTCTTTATTCTGCTCTTCACCTGTTAAAAAAGAAAAAAAGTCAATTATTTCGTATTGACTACATTAGGCTATGGCAGCCACAAACAAAGGTGTCATTCCAAGCATAAAGACTCTTCTACTTGCTACAATTGGTATTAAACGCAGGCAAAGGACTTCTATCATCCTTGACACCTGAGATGCCTAAGCCAAGAAGGGATTATGGTCCTGAAAGTATTTATTGGTCAACAGAATGAAAAAAACTGATGCGCAGTACAACTCAATGTTTTTACGCTAAATAAGCTCTTGACGTAGACAGCCAAGGAAACCATCTTACTAAAATGACATTCAAGCTTTCACATAAATCTTGGGTCAAAATACTCTTTCTCAATAACCTCACCTCTTCAAGAATCAAGAGTATTTTGCAAACTTTTTGCAAAATCTAATTTACCCACAAGCTAATTATCAGAAATGCTTCAAAATAGTTAACTGAGCAATAAACTGTTGCCAAGAAGTTCTATCGTATTTTATTGTGGGGTTCTGCTGTTATAAATATTTCAGCTTTTGTATCTTGGCCAGATACACCAAACTATAATCAGATTTTACTTCAGAGTGAAACACAGCATGCTCAAAGTAAATCAGACCACTGAGGTTATTAAAGAATGGCATTTGGACCACTTCACTCATGCTATTTGTCTTTTGCCTTTAAAGAGGGTGATTACCCTAAGGAGTTTCAACTGCACTATGACATGCAACAGAAAGCCACCTATTGGTTGGAGGGTCATCTACCTATTAGTATGCATTAAACAAGTCAGCCAAAATAAAGAAGCATGCAGGCTTTTCCCTTAAAAATGATGTAACAGGTAAAAGTTACATTCACTTGTACTTTTTTAAAAAAACCACTTACAATTACTACACAGTTAACTAGTTTGAAACAAAATAAATGAAAAATCAACCCAAGAATCATAAATGTTCAAATGACTATCCATTCATAATGCTTGTTAAATTATTTAATTAGGATGGACAAATAACACCAAACTAGCTGCCTACACACATGAAGCATTTACACTGAGTACAGCTTTGAAACAGCCTAAATGATCTCAAAATGACAAATGTCACAGCATCAAGGTTTCAGTAGTTTTCAAATCTCTTCTGCGGCGGAAACGCTTGACATTGCTGTGTGACTTCAAAACCCACTTACAGCCTCAGCAACACAGTGAAGCCCTGTCTCTACAAAAAATGAACATAACGCCGGGCACGGTGGCTCACGCCTGTAATCCCAGCACTTTGGGAAGCAAAGGCGGGCGGATCACGAGGTCAGAAGATCAAGACCATCCTGGCTAACACAGTAAATCCCCATCTCTACTGAAAAAATAATACAAAAAATTAGCCTGGCGTGGTGGCACATGCCTGTAATCCCAGCTACCTGGGAAGCTGAGGCATGAGAATTGCTTGAACCCAGGAGACGGAGGTTGCAGCGAGCCAAGAACATGCCACTACACTCCAGCCTGGGTAACAGAGTGAGACTCCGTCTCAAAAAAAAAAAAAAAAGAATAAATAAAACTAAAAGTAAAAAACTATGTATGCTGGAGCCAGGCATGGTGGCTCACGCCTGTAATACCAGCACTTTGGGAGGCCAAGAGAGGTGGATCATGAGGTCAGGAGATCGAGACCATCCTGGCTAACACAGTGAAACCCTGTCTCTACTAAAAATACAAAAAAAAAAAAAAAAAATTAGCCAGGCATGGTGGCAGGCGCCTGTAGTCCCAGCTACTCGGGAGGCAGGAGAATGGCGTGAACCCAGGAGGCGGAGCTTTCAGTGAGCCAAGATTCTGCCGCTGCACTCCAGCCTGGGCGACAATCGAGACTCCGTCTCAAAAAAAAAAAAAACTACATACGCTGGGCATGGGGCCACATGTCTATAGTCCCAGCTACTTGGGGGGCTGAGGTGGGGGAGTTCTATTTCTGCAGTGAGCTTTGAACGCCACTGCACTCCAGGCGGGGCAACAAGAGCAAAACTCCGTCTCAAAAAAATGTATAAAATTTTAAAACTACTTAAAATACATGAAGATCTTTAATTCATAAGACAGAAAAAAAATATGCAAAGGCAAAAAAAAATTGCTTAGGGATGAAAGAACTGATGGGCACCCAACTGTTCTCCAAAGGACAATAACGTATTCAAACGTAGGAAACATGATAGGAACATTCACTCTAACAGCAAATCACTGCCAAAGTATCATTAACACAAACACTAGAACACAACTCGCTTGTAAGCAACCATGAGATGTGCCAGAAGTTCCAAGTAACTTTGGCATAAAAATGTCACTGTCATATACATCACATCCAACCACAGTAGGCAGGAGGAGCAGGCCGGAAAAGGCTTAGGTCAGCGCCCTGGAAGGTGGAACAGGCAGAGTCTGTAAGCAACAGGACGATCATACGCAGGCATGATTAGTGAAGAACCAAAACTGAAAGCGGAATTCACTGTGCCATGAACGTGACTTACAAAGTAGAGTTTTTAGGAAAGGAAGAGTTGGGTTTTCCTTTAGGAATCTATATTGCAAGGAAAAAGGGAGGGAGAACAATCATATGAAAGCAACATTACAAGAAAAATAAACCAACAGAGCAGGACAAAGGAAAACAATGATACAGGAGCCGGACTTTGGTCTTACTTCGTGTAAACTTCACTCTAAGCAACAATCTGTCTACTCCTCCTCCCTTCTACTCTGAGAAGGAAGTAATATCCTCTTGAAAGACATACAGATATTAGGGGAAAAAGGATTCCTTGGCTATGTTTCTTTGCCCAGTGTATCTACATTTTGGAGAGAGGGGAACAGGCAGGGAGAACATGTATTTCCTACCTATGGATTCGTATATGAAACAATCCTCTTACCACAGGGTGAAGAGACTAAAATCACTTGAGAAAAAGCAATGATCCCTCCCTTTAAAGAAATTATGTTCCAACATGCTGGGACAGACATTAACATATTCTAAAATTAAAAGACATAAATACCGTCTCTTTAAAAAACAAAAAAATCTAAATAATCCTTAAACTAAATGCAAAGTCACATCCTAGTAAACTGCCACTTTCATGACGATTCTCCTATATTCACCACGGAACCCAAGTCACAAAAGTAGTATTTTATTTTGTGAGATGAAGTTTTATCTTGCCCAAGCTGGTGTCAAACTCCTGGGCTCAAGTGATCCTTCTGCCTCACCTTGCTGAACAGCCGAGATTACAGGCAGGCACCATTGCAGTTTCAAAACCAATTTATTAAAAAATGTAGGCCGGGAACAGTGGCTCACGCCTGTAATCCCAGCATTTTGGGAGGCCGAGGCAGGCGGATCACGAGGTTAGGAGATTGAGACCATCCGGGTTAACACGGGGAAACCCCGCCTCTACTAAAAATACAAAAAAAAATTAGCCGGGCATGGTGGCGGGCACCTGTAGTCCCAGCTACCAGGAAGGCTGAGACAGGAGAATGGCGTGAACCCGGGAGGCGGAGTTTGCAGTGAGCCAAGATAGCACCACTGCACTCCAGCCTGGGTGACAAAGCAAGACTCTGTCTCACGAAAAAAGGAAAAAAAAAAAAGATGTAATACTAGGCCAGGTGCGGTGACTCGGGCCTGTAATCCCAGCACTTTGGGAGGCTGAGGCAGGTGGATCACGAGGTTAGGAGATTGAGACCATCCGGGCTAACACGGGGAAACCCTGTCTCTACTGAAAATACGAATTATTGCCAGGCGTGGTGGTGGGCACCTGTAGTCCCAGCAACTCAGAGAGGACGAGGCAGAAGAATCGCTTGAACCCGGGAGGTGGAAGCTGCAGTGAGCAGAGATTGCGCCACTATACTCCACCCTGGGCAACAGAGTGATACTCCATCTCAAAAACTCTAATTTTTGACAAATTCAACTTCTCAAACTGATGAACAATTTCTTTGTACCCACAATTATTTGTGTATTCAGAGTTTGTTAGTTGTACCGGAATGTCAACAGACCACCTGAATTTTTCACTGTTGAACTATTTCATGACTGGAAGCATTATATAAATAAAAAGTATTTCACCTAATAAAAATTAAGTGAAAATTACTCTTCTTAACCAAATTTAATCAACTGATTTACAGACTCAATAAGGAATTGAACACAAATGAATTTCACTAGATTTTTTTTTTTTTTGAGACGGAGTCTTGCTCTGTCGCCCAGGCTGGAGTGCAGTGGTGCTATCTCGGCTCACTGCAAGCTCCGCCTCTGGGTTCACCCCATTCTCCTGCCTCAGCCTCCCAAGTAAATGGGACTACAGGCGCCCACCACCACGCCCGGGTAATTTTTTTTGTATTTTTAGTAGAGACGGGGTTTCACTGTGTTAGCCAGGATGGTCTCAATCTTCTGACCTCGTGATCCGCCCGCCTCAGCCTCCCAAAGTGCTGGGATTAACCGGCGTGAGCCACTGCGCCCAGCCGAATTTCACTAGATTTTTAAAAACTGCGAAAGTATTACCCTGTATTTTTTTTTTTTGGACGAAGTTTCTCTCTTGTTGCCCAGGCTGGAGTGCAACGGCGCGATCTCAGTTGATCACAACCTCCAACTCCCAGGTTCAAGCGATTCTCCTGCCTCAGCCTCCCCAGTAGCTAGGATTACAGACATGTGACACGACGCCTGGCTAATTTTGTATTTTTAGTAGAGATGGGGTTTCTCCATGTTGGTCAGGCTGGTCTCGAACTCCTGACCTCAGGTGATCCACCCGCTTCGGCCTCCCAAAGTGCTGGGATTATAGGCGTGAGCCACTGCACCAGGCCGTATTACCCTATTTTAAGATGATCCATTTCCTAAAACTGTACTCGACAACCAAGAATAAGGATTATCTTTAGTTCTGTACATAGACTGACAGGTAGTCTACTTTGATTAATCAACTCTTGGTTATCAGTGATAATGAGCTACAGAAGTAATCCAGACTTGGTTATGAGTTGGTATCAAATGTGTTTTCTTGTTTTGTTTCGTTTCTTTGAGACAGAGTTTTGCTCTTGTTGCCCAGGCTGGAGTGCAATGGAGTGATCTTGGCTCACTGCACCTCTGCCTCCCGGGTTCAAGTGATTCTCCTGTCTCAGCCTCCTGAGTAGCAGGGATTACAGGTGCCCGCCACCACACCTGGCTAATTTTTGTATTTGTAGTAGAGACGGGGTTTCTCCATGTTGGTCAGGCTGGTCTCAAACTCCTGACCTCAGGTGATCCGTCCACTTCGGCCTCCCAAACTGCTGGGATTACAGGCATGAGCCACTGTGCCCAGCATATGTTTTTATTAAAATAATAATAATAAAAAAAAATGGCCAGGCGCAGTGGCTCACGCCTGTAATCCAAGCATTTTGGGAGGCCGAGGCAGGTGGACCACGAGGTCAGGAGTTAGAGACCAGCCTGGCCAACATGGTGAAACCCTGCCTCTACTAAACAAACAAAAAACTAGCTGGGTATGGTGGCGCACGCCTGTAATCCCAGCTACTCAGGAGGCTGAGGCAGGAGAATCCTTTGAACCCAGGAGGCAGAGGTTGCAGTGAGCCGAGATCGCACCATTGCATTCCAATCTGGGCAACAGGGAGAGACTCCGTCTCACAAAACAAAACAAAAAATCAGCCAGGCGCGGTGGCTCACACCTGTAATCCCAGCGCTTTGGGAGGCCGAGATGGGCAGATCACAAGGTCAGGAGTTGGAGACCAGCCTGGCCAACATAGTGGAACCCCGTCTCTATTAAAAATACAAAAAATTAGCTAGGAGTGGTGGTGGCAGACACCTGTAGTCCCAGCTACTAGGGAGGATAAGGCAGGAGAATCAGAGGCAGGAGAATCACTTGAACCCAGGAGATGTAGGTTGCAGTCAGCTGAGAGAGCACCACTGCACTCCAGCCTGGGTAACAAGAGCAAAACTCCATCTCAAAAAAAAAAAATAAAACACACACACAGAAAAAACTTTCAAGTCAGGTCACTTTCATTACTTATTACTTTTACTCTCAAAAACATGTCCCCAGAGGTGAGAGGTGTATCATTTCCTGAAGTCAATCCCGCGCCCCAAACTCTCCGCATGCTTTCCCTCCATCAACAGGCAGAGAGATACTAGCATCTGAGCTGGGGATGACCATTACGAGTCCACAGCTGTTTGACCATTCTTCTTCATAATTGTTGTTACAACTTTTTTTCTTCCCTGAAGAGATGGCATCTCGTTCAGTCATCCAGGTTAGAATACAGTGGCGCAATCGAAGCTCACTGCAGCCTCAAGATCCCCCAACCTCAGCCGTCTGAGAAGCATGCGTTGTCACACCTGGCTGTTGTTTTTGTTTTTTGTTTTGAGACAAAGTCCTGCTCTATGAAGCCTCGCTCTGCCACCCAGGCTAGAGTGCAGTGGGGCGTGATCTCAGCTCACTGCAACCTCCACCTCCTGGGTTCAAGCAATTCTCCTGCCTCAGCCTTGCAAGTAGCTGAGATTACAGGCACATACCACTGCACCCGGCATTTTTTTTTTTTTTAAAGACAGGGTCTTACTATGTTGCCCAGGCTGGTCTTGAACTCCTAGGCTCAAGCATCTTCCCACCTTGGCCTCCCAAAGTGCTGGGATTACAGGCACAAGCCACTGCAACCGGCATAGGACAGATTTTCCAGCTGGAAGCCACTTGTTCACAGTTGGTAAATTATTTCTGAGTCCCAAGGGCTGGGAGTAGCTGCCTGAAATGCTGCGCTGGGAAGTGTTCTGTGGCTCCATCTGGCACTGTTGCAAGTGTGTAAGTAAGTCCTACGTATGTGAATATCTCATGCCAATCCTGATCTAGTCAAATCCTAAACATATCATAAAGCTAGTAAATGTTAAAAGCTGAGTCACCTAATTCTCACTTTAGTACCATAACCCAAAAGTCACAAATCTGATTTGATCCTTCCAGAGAAAAGACACATACGTGCCCACTTTCAGAAGCATTTTCAAAAAGTATAACACTTCCAAAGACAATACAGCAGGTCCGTTTCCCCAAAAGAAACTACAGATAGCCTCAAGCAACGCGACATATGTTTTATGTTTCAGCCTAAGAAACGTTATCTCTTTTTTTTTTTTTTAGATGGAGTCTTCCTCTGTAGCCCAGGTTGGAGTGCAATGGCGTATCTCTCAGCTCACTGCAACCTCCGCCTCCTGGGTTTAAGCAATTCTCCGGCCTCAGCCTCCTGAGTAGCTGGGACTACAGGAGCCCGCCACCACGCCCAGCCAATTTTTTGTATACTTAGTAGGGACGGGGTTTCCCCGTGTTAGCCAGGATGGTCTCGATCTCCTGACCGCGTGATCCACCCGCCATGGCGTCCCAAAGTGCTGGGATTATAGGCATGAGCCACCGCGCCCGGCACAGCCTTAGAAACATTCTTAAAGGAACCGCAGCTAAAACTGACATCAGACTTTGTTTACAACCTCCTACCAGCACCACCACCACCAAATGTAAAACTATCCTGTAATACTCCTATCACACTAATTTGTCCTCTTCTCCATCCCTGTTCAACAATCTACCATGGATCAAAATGATTCTCTAGACAGAGAATAAAATTTCCTTTAAAATCAACAAACATAACAAATTTGGGCTCCTGTATTTAAAGTAAACATTAACACACACTCAACATCACAATTAAGTTTACTAAAATACTCTGAAGCGTTTGCAATGAAAACCTCTTAAGAATAAAAACAGGCCGGGCACGGTGGCTTGCGCCTGTAATCCCAGCACTTTGGGAGGCCGAGGCGGGTGGATCACAAGGTTAGGAGATCGAGGCCAACCTGGCTAACACAGTGAAACTCCATCTTTACTAAAAATACAAAAAACTAGCCAGGCGTGGTGGCAGGCACCTGTAGTCCCAGCTACTCGGGAGACTGAGGTGGGAGAATGGTGTAAACCCAGGAGACGGAGCTTGCAGTGAGCCAAGATCGCGCCACTGCACTCCAGCCCGGTCAACAGAGCGAGACTCCATCTCAAAAAAAAAAAAAGAAAAGAAAAGAAAAGAAAAGAATAAAAACAGCAGGGCGCAGTGGCTAACGCCTGTAATCCCTGCACTTTGGGAGGCTGAGGCGGGCAGAACACCTGAGGTCAGGAGTTCAAGACCAGCCTGACCAACATGGAGAAATCCCGTCTCTACTAAAAATACAAAAACTAGGTAGTCGTGATAACGGGTGCCTGCAACCCCAGCTACCCTGGGAAGCTGAGGCAGGAGAATCGCTTGAACCCGGGAGGCAGAGTTTGCAGTAAGCCGAGATTGAGCCACCGCACTCCAGCCTGGGTGTCGCAGCAAGACTCCGTCTCAAAAAAAAAAAAAAGAGACCCAAGGGCCAACATTCAATTTCTCTACAGAATCCCAGAGGGAAATGGGAAACCAGTTCCCTTTTAGATAAAATATTTCAACAAAGAGAAAAACTTCATAAATACCTACTGATACCATCTGGATTTAAATACACTTAACTTCAGCCCCCTAAAATTGAATTGAATGAAGATAAAATAAACTGCTTGCTCTCCACTCCTCCTGTCCTCAACCTTTGAAACAGTGTAAAGGAAGAGCTAAACTAAGTTCCCAAAATGGAACTCCGTACTGTAGCACCATTTCCTATAAAGGCAGCAATTACAATTTCATAGAGGGCAGGCGGTGAATCTAAATTCTAGCTTGATATAACGACAAGCCAAGGAATGTCTAAAGAGAGTACAAACAAATCCTGCAACTGAAAGAGGTGCCTGTTTCACTCCGTGCTTGCTTACCGTCACCCTGCATGTCTGAAGTCCATAGTGTCAGATTATCACGTAACAACTGCATGATAAGTGTAGAGTCCTTATAGCTTTCTTCACTCAGCGTATCCAGTTCTGCAATTGCATCATCAAAAGCTGCTTTTGCCAACCTAAAGGTATTTCAATAGAAGTGTTATAAAAATTAAGTCCAAAATCAGAATTAGAAATGACATGCTAGACAGCAATCTTTTCTTCAGTTATTCCAGTTTGTAATAGTCACAATGATAATGCAAAGAAAAAGCAAATACAATAAAAATTAACTTAAAGGTATGTGGAACACTACTTCTTACTATGCTTTAAGCCTGCTACTGATATGCTATAATATACATATCGACTAATAAAATACATAGAACAACTTCCATCCTAAACCATCACCAAAAAATATACCTCCAAGTTCTAGGCAATAGTTCACTTATTTCAAAAAGTTTTGTTTGTTTGTTTTTAAGACGGAGTCTGGCTCTGTCGCCCAGGCTGGAGTGCAGTGGCGTGATCTCGGCTCACTGCAAGCTTCGCCTCTCAGGTTCATGCCATTCTCCTGCCTCAGCCTCCCGAATGGCTGGGACTACAGGCGCCCGCCACCACACCCGGCTAATTTTTTGTATTTTTAGTAGAGATGGGGTTTCACCGTGTTAGCCAGGATGGTCTCGATCTCCTGACCTCGTGATCCACCAGCCTCAGCATCCCAAAGTGCTGGGATTACAGGCGTGAGCCACCGCGCCCAGCCTAGTTTTTTTTTTTTTTTTTTTTTTTTTTTTTTTTTAAGGGATTCGTTATGTTGCCCAGGCTGGACTTGAACTCCTGCGTTCAAGCAATCTTCCGAACCTTAGCCTCTTGAGTGGCTGGGACAAACGGTACACACTACCACCCCCAAGATTTTTTAAAAAAAAAAAAAAAAAAAAAAAAAAAAAAAATTTTTTTTTTTTTTTTTTTTTTTTGGGGGACGGGGTCTCGCTCTATCACCCAGGCTGGAGTGCAGTGGCGGGATGTAGGCTAAATGCAAGCTCCGCCTCCTGGGTTCACACCATTATCCTGCCTCAGCCTCCCGAGTAGCCGGGACTACAGGCGCCCGCCACCACACCCGGCTGATTTGTTTTTATATTTTTAGCAGAGGCAGGGTTTCACCGTGTTAGCCAGGATGGTCTTGATCTTCTGACCTCGTGATGTGCCCGCCTCAGCCTCCCAAAGTGCTGGATTACAAGGTTGAGATATTTAACAAAGTATTAATGCAAAAAGAAAATCTTGGACAATACCTCAAAGTTTAAAAAAATTTAATTTCACGTTAATGGAGGCAGGGAAGCAAAGAAAATAAAAGGCAACACAGACGCCATGGAAATGTGATTATGTAAGCCATTTACAGTTTTAAAAGAAAATCCACACTTACTGAGTACTGTGTACTATGTCCAACAAACGATACGATATACCAATAGAAAAAAAAGAGACATAATCTAAGTCCACATCAACTTAAAAATTTAGAAATGGAGGGTAGACAAATACATAACTATTTTACAAGGAGGAGGCTGGCTGTGGTGGCTCATGCCTGTAATCAGCACACTTTGGGTGGCTGATGCGTGCGCGCAGATCACTTGAGGCCAGGAGTTCAAGACCAGCCGGGCCACCATGGCAAAACCTATTAAAAACACAAAAAATTAGGCCGGGTGCAGTGGCTCAAGCCTGTAATCCCAGCACTTTGGGAGGCAGAAGCGGGCGGATCACGTGGTTAGGAGATCGAGACCATCCTGGCTAACACAGTGAAACCCCGTCTCTACTAAAAATACAAAAAAATTAGCCGGGAGCAGTGGCAGGTGCCTGTAGTCCCAGCTACTTGGGAGGATGAGGCAGGAGAATGGTGTGAACCCAGGAGGCGGAGCCTGCAGTGAGCCGAGATCACGCCACTGCAGTCCAGCCTGGGCAACAGAGCAAGACTCCGTCTAAAAACACACACACACACACACACACACACACACACACACACACACACAAAATTAGCCGGGCATGGTGGCGTATGCCTGTAATCCCAGCTACTCAGGAGGCTGAGGCAGAAGAATCCCTTGAACCTGGGAGGCGGAGGTTGCAGTGAGGTGAAACTGTGCCAATGCACTCCAGCCTGGGCAAGAGAGCACAAAAACAAAAGAAGAAGAAGAATGAAGTGCTATTCCAAATAAAGTATTTCAGGGACCCAGAAGGAGGAGCAATTAAAGGGAAAGTCAAATTTGAACTAATCTCAATGGATAAGGAGAAAACAAAACACACTTCAGGTTTAAGCAGAAGCATGAGCAAAGGCATGCGAGTGACTTTAAACTGGAGCTACACGTGGGACAGCTAGACTGGAGTCTGACAAGGAAAGGTGCAACCACCAGTATTAGCTAAATAGCCACAGCTTCTTCAGTTACGATCCCTATCTGGACAAACTCAACTAGCCATTTAGAATGTTTTTACATTGGCTGGGCGCAGTGGCTCACGCCTGTAATCCCAGCACTCTGGGAGGCTGAGGCAGGTGGATCACCTGAGGTCAGGAGTTCGAGACCAGCCTGACCAAGATGGTGAAAACCTGTCTCTACTAAAAATGCAAAAAAAAAAAAAAATTCAGTCAAGCGCAGTGAAGCATGCCTATAATAGTCAACATTAAAGTTCCAATGTATCAGTTAATCCCCTTTCCTCAAACTTTGAAAGGCTTTCACTTAAAAACCCTACTTTGCTTAAGCAGTTGTCCTCAAACAAACCAAAAAAAAACACATACAAAAACCAAAAGGGGCCGGGCGCGGTGGCTCACGCCTGTAATCCCAGCACTTTGGGAGGCCGAGGAGGGCAGATCACGAGGTCAGGAGATCGAGACCATCCTGGCTAACACAGGGAAACCCCATCTCTATTAAAAATACAAAAAATAGGCCGGGCGCGGTGGCTCACACCTGTAATCCCAGCACTTTGGGAGGCCGAGGCGGGTGGATCACGAGGTCAGGAGATCGAGACCATCCTGGCTAACACGGTGAAACCCCATCTCTACTAAAAATACCAAAAATTAGCCGGGCGTGGTGGCGGGCGCCTGTAGTCCCAGCTACTCGGGAGGCTGAGGCAGGAGAATGGCGTGAACCCGGGAGGCAGAGCTTGCAGTGAGCCGAGATCGCGCTACTGCACTCCAGCCTGGGGGACATAGCGAGACTCCGTCTCAAAAAAAAAAAAAAAAAAATACAAAAAATTAACCGGGCGTGGTGGCGGGTGCCTGTAGTACCAGCTACTTGGGAGGCTGAGGCGAGAGAATCGCCTGAACCCAGGAGGCTGAGCTTTCAGTGAGCTGAGATCACGCCACTGTACTCCAGCCACAGCAGCAGAGTGAGACTCCGTCAAAATAAAAAAAAAAAGCAAAAAAACCATTTTGCTACTGCAATATTTACTGTAAAAATTTAAAATAGGCTGGGTGCAGTGGCTCACGCCTGTAATCTCGGCACTTTGGGAGGCCGAGGTGGCTGGATCACTTAAGGTGAGGTGTCCAAGACCAGCCTGGCCAACACTGTGAAAACCCATCTCTACATAAAAATACAAAAATTAGCTGGGTATGGTGGCGGGCGTCTGTAATCCCAGCTACCTGGGAGGCTGAAGCAGGAGAATCGCTTGAAACCGGGAGGCAGAGGTTGCAGTGAGCTGAGATTGCACCACTGCACTCCAGCCTGGGAAACACAGCGAGACTCTCCTCTCGGGGGAAAAAAAAAAAGAAAAAGACAATAGCAAAAAACAACAACAACAACAAAATGCCAACCTACAGAAGAGGAGAAAATACTCACAAACCATTTACTTGCTAAGAGGTTACTATCTGGAATAATGAACTCTCAACACTTAACAAACGAAAAAAACATGAATTCAAAAATGGGCAAAAGGGCCTGGTGCAGTGGCTCAGGCCTGTATTCTCAGCATTTTGGGAGGCTAAGGCAAGAGGATTACTTGAGGCCAGGATTTCAAGACCAGCTTCGGCAACACAGCCAGACCCTGCCTCTACAAAACAAAACAACAAAAAAAAATTTTTTTTTTGAGACGGAGTCTCGCTCTGTCGCCCAGGCTGGAGTGCAGTGGCGTGATCTTGGCTCACTGCAAGTTCCGCCTCCCAGGTTCACGCCATTCTCCTGCCTCAGCCTCCCGAGTAGCTGGGACTACAGGCGCCCGCCACCACGCCCGGCTGATTTTTTGTATTTTTAGTAGAGACGGGGTTTCACCACGTTAGCCACGATGGTCTCGATCTCCTGACCTCGTGATCTGCCCTCCTCGGCCTCCCAAAGTGCTGGGATTACAGGCGTGAGCCACTGCACGCAGCCCAAAAAAAATTTAAAAATTGGCCGGGCGCAGTGGCTCATGCCTGTAATCCCAGCACTTTGGGAGGGAGGCTGAGGTCAGGAGTTTGAGACCAGCCTAACCAAGATAGTGAAACCTCGTCTCTACTAAAAATGCCCCCAAAAATTAGCCAAGCATGGTGGCACATGCCTGTAATCCCAGCTACTTGAGAGGCTGAAGCACCAGAATCGCTTGAATCTGGGAGGTGGAGGTTGCAGTGAGCTGCGATCGCACCACTGTACTCCAGCCTGGCCAGCAGAGCGAGACTCCATCTTAAAAAAAAAAAAAAAAAAGGGCTGGCCAAGCACAGTGGCTCACACCTGTAATCCCAGAACTTTGGGAGGCCGAGGCGGGCAGATCACACGAGGTCAGGAGTTCGAGACTAGCCTGGCCAACACTGTGAAACCCCATCCCTACTAAAAATACAAAAAATTAGCCAGGCATGGTGGCAGGCGCCTATAATCCCAGCTACTTTGGATGCTGAGGCAGGAGAATCGCTTGAACCTGGAAGGCAGAGGTTGCAGTGGGCCAAGATCACGCCACTGCACTCCAGCCTGGGTGACAGTGCCAGGCTCTCCCTCAAAAAAAAGAAAAAAGAAAAAAAAAAGGAAAAGAAAAGGCCAGGTATGGTGGCATCCACCTCTAGTGACAGCTACTTGGAAGGCTCAGGTAGGCGAATCGGCTGAGCCCAGGAAGCCAAGGCTGCAGTGAGCTATGAGTGCACAACTGCAGAGACAGAACAAGATCCTGTCCGGAAAAAAAAGTTACCCACAGAATTTTCAGTCCCAATTCCACCTCAAGGTGAAGTTAAATACAAGGACTCAAGCAAATACTTAGTGCACCCATTTTCATAGCAGCATTGTACTCACCATAGGGAAAAGGTGGAAACCCACTGACCACCAAAAGTTTAATGACTAAACAATGTGTGCAAAATACATAAAATGAATTGTGTAAATTCAGTCACTAAAAGGACTGAAGCTCTGATCCATGCTTTTACATGGATAAAAACATTACGCTAGATGAAATAAAGACAGCCACAAAAGGACAAATATTATATGATCCCACTTACATGAGGTATCTAGAATGGGCCAAATTCATAGTGACAACGTAAAATAAAAGTTACTAGCAGCTAGGGAGAGGGGAAATGAAGTTATTGATTGTTTAATGGCTATAATTCGCTTTGTGTGGGGTGAAGAGAAAGTTTTCAAATAGTGGTGATTACACAACACTGTCAATGTATTCGGTGCCACTAAATTGTTGTGTGTGTGTGTGTGTGTGTGTGTGTGTGTGTGTGTGTGTGTAAAAGTCTCGCTTTGTCGCCCAGGCGAGAGGGAGAGGGAGACGGGGAGAGAGAGGGAGACGGGGAGGGGGAGGGGGGGAGGAGGGGGAGGGGGGGAGAGAGGGGGAGAGAGAGAGAGAGAGATTTGAAAAAAAGTCTCACTGTGTCACCCAGGCTACAGTGTACTGGTGCAATCGAGGCTCACCGCAACCTCTGCCTCCTGGGTTCAAACAATTCTCCTGTCTCAGCCTCCCGAGTAACTGGGATTGCAGGCATGCACCACCACACCCGGCTAATTTTGTATTTTTAATAGAGACAGAGTTTCACCATGTTGGTCAGGTTGGTATCGAACTCCTGATCTCAGGTGACCCACCCACCTCAGCCTCCCAAAGTGCTGGGATTACAGGCGTGAGCCACTGCACCCAGGCTATCACAACTTTTTAAAAGTAAAAAGTTATGTACGTATAAATATTCCTTACATATTTATCTACATTATCAAAAACTGGGAACAAGCTGAAGTATAAATGGGGGAACAGTTTAACACACATTAGTAAGACTGAAACTTGTTTATGCTAAAACAGAAAATATAAAATTATGTTTGCTACGAGAGTAACTATTAAAAACATGCCCATAGAAACAGAACACTGGCTGGGTGTGGTGACTCATGCTTGTAATCTCAGCACTTTGGGAGGCGAAGGCGGGCGGATCACTTGAGGTCAGGAGTTCCAGACCAGCCTAGCCAAAATGGTGAAAACACCGTCTCTACTAAAAATACAAAAAAAATTAGTTGGGCATGGTGGCAGGCCCCTGTAACTCCAGTTACTCAGGAGGCTGAGACAGGAGAATCACTTGAACCCAGGAGGTGAAGGCTGCAGTGATCTGAGATGGCGCCACTGCACTCTAGCCTGGGAGACAGAGTGAGACATGGTCTCAAATTTAAAAAAAGACTGAAAACTAATATAACAAAAATTAAAATAATTCTAATTCCTCTCATTTCCTTCCTCTACTCATTTTAACATGTTAGATTTCAATCTACCAGCAACAAAAATATCCCACATCAAAATAATTATGCTGACTGCTATGCTAGTGGGTTGAGACAGGTCTGTTTTAATACTATCCAAAGTAGTTTCAGTAAGAGCCAAAAGAATTACTATGCAGCCAAGTCTACAAAGACAGGCCCAAGAAACAACACGGAAAACCCAAACAGCGCCCCCCTTAACTTTCACGCTGAGCGCTGCTGTTCTTCCCCACAACTTACCTGCAGGCACGGTCAGGGGAATTAAGAATTTCGTAGTAGAATACGGAAAAATTGAGAGCAAGACCTAAGCGAATAGGATGCGTTGGTGGAAGTTCTGTCATTGCAATATCACTAGCAGCTTTATAAGCCACTAGGCTGTTCTCCGCAGCCTCCTTCCTGTCGTTTCCTGTGGCAAATTCTGCCAGATACCTGTGGTAGTCCCCTTTCCTAAAACAAAACCAAAATTAAAAAAAAAAAAAAAATTTAAACTAGGAACGATTTTTAAAGGAAAATAAGCTAAAATTGTTCTATATTATATAAAATGTGACAAAAATATATGTAACAATTAGGTGTACTTCAATAATTTTAAACACTCTCAGGAATAACTGGCTTCGTTTCATTTTTTTCCTTAGACATTTCATATTACTAAATATAAGCAAAAATCCCAGGAAATTAACTGAGGAGCCTCTAAAAATTAATAAAATTATCACCTGATAGACCAGAATTAAACAAGCAAGTGGTTCCAAGGAATGGCATGACAGTTTATTAATCATAAAATAAAATGTCTATATATAACACTAAGCACTGTGAAATGTATGCCGTTTGGGGGAGGGGAATGGGATAGGTCTCACAAAAACAAAAGAATATAAATAAGCAAAAGCTAATACATTTTCATAATAGCCCAACCACCTTTTCATTACAATATTAACTATCCTTCTAACATTGAACAATTATTCTTAAATAAAAGTTGAAAACCTACATAGAACAAAGTTATGGTTCTAAAAGGACCAACTTTCAATCTTACATTTTCCCTTCTAGTATAGAACCTACATTTTATAATAGAAAACCTTGGACTCGCCAGTGTTAGCTGCTGGAATGAGGTGTTTGTCCAGTACATCCAGAATGTCACAACAGATTAACTTTAGCTCAGTCTCAACCTAAAAAAAAAAAAATTTTTTTTAAATCAGATTAAGTCTAGAAATTCTACAAATTATTACATATTCTATCTCTGGTTTTGAGGTAGAGAGCTTAGTATTAAAAAGAATTTGTATCCCTCTCCAAACTCCCTTCTTCCTTCTTGACACAAAAGCAGAGAAAAGCTGCCTCTAGGTTATAAAAAGTATCTTTTCCCTTCTGCATGCTGCCTATTGTTACACACACACATGCAGGCACGCACACACGCCAGCCCCCACACCCCCTTCACAGTACCACAGTACAGCTACAGAATTACCAATGACTAAAACTGAACACTGATGCTTCTTGGTAAATGCTGGTCAATTACATGAATTACCTTCTTTCACAAGGTAGCAACGTAAAGACATTGCTCTAAGATCAACAATTAAATAAGAATTTAATAAGCAGAGCTAGGATTTGAACCCAGGCAGGCTGCAAGGGACAGAATCAAAATTTAAACCCAGGCAGTTTGCCTTCAGCACTCACATCCTTAACAACATTCACCAGGCAATTCCTTTAGTGGCAGAGATCCGTAACTATTAAAACACCGAAAACCTATCTACCAAAGTAGCTACTGCCACCCATCTCTATCCACTGATCATGCTGAACACGCACACCACCTCTCAACGCACATCCTCAGCTTGCTTCCTGTTTGCTATTAACTCATGCAGCACTACTGCTGAACCTTTCATGAGGGTCCTCTCCGTGCCCCTGGAACCTCCGTTTCACTGCAGAAAATTCTCTCTTTTTCTTCTATAATCACATCCTTATCCCAAGCAAAACTACTTTCTGAATAAACGACATCCCTGACAGCTTTTCCAATAGAGACTGGTCTAGGAGAAGGAAGACTTCTAAGTTCTCCTAGCTCCTTGCATACTCAATGACTGCTCTATTACTCCAAACTCTTCCTCCTCACAAGCTGATGATCTACATTCTATTTCTCAGTTTTTGTCATCAATAGATCTCTACACCCTTCTCCCAGATTCACTGAGTATCTACAGCAAACCCACCCAATACCTGAGATCACACCAAGGTATGGTGCAGCCATGTTCCATTCAACAGAGTTCTTTGCTCTCTACTCCTAGACTTTCACTTGTCCACACCCATGACCATGCTGCTCCATACTAGAAGTCTGAATTGCAACACTCCACTCTTGGCCCGTGGCTTCCTTTTTCAGTTCCTCTTCTCTTATTATTTCTATTTAGGGACTCATCAGGACATCTGGACTCTTTATTTTTTACTTTTTCTTTCTTTGATTCAGAGTTTCCCTCTTGTTGCCAAGGCTGGATGGAGTGCAGTGGCTCGACGTTGGCTCATTGCAACCTCCACCTCCTGGGTTCAAGCGATTCTCCTGTCTCAGCCTCCCGAGTAGCTGGGATTACAGGTGCCCGCCACCATGCCTGGCTAATTTTTGTATTTTTAGTGGAGACGGGGTTTCACCATGTCGGTCAGGCTGCTCTCGAACTCCTCACCTCAGGTACCTGCCCGCCTTGGCCTCCCAAAGTGCTGGGATTACAGGCATGAGCCACCACGGAAGGCCCCAGCTCACAACTTTCTATGTGACCTCAGGTATGTCAAACACCCAAAACCCTGGTTTGTGCATTCATAGTTGGGATAATACCTCCCCCTTCCAGTGCCATTTTAAAGATTTCATGTACTACCTTGCACAAATACATGTAACAAAAATATTTCTCTACTCAGGACAGTGCCCAGTACAGCTGGCGAGTCAGTAACTGTGGTTCCCCCACCCTTCCCTCCCCCAACCAACCTCACTTTCCACCTGCCCTGTAATTCTCTTCCCTGTTCTTTCCTGTATTTACGTGCCTGTCTCTTCTACTAGAATCGGTTACTCAACAGCAGCACTCCCGACAGTTTGTTGTGGGGCCCGTGCTGTGCCCAGTAGAATGGTTAGCAGCACCCCAGTCCCCACCCCACTAGATGCTAGGAACACCCTCCAGAAGTTGTGACAATCAAAAGTATTTCTAGACATTGTTAAACGTTCTCTGAAGTACAAAAGCACCTCTAATTGAAAACTGCTGCATTACAGTGATGGCTGTCCAACTTTTTTTTAACAAGACCTACAATAAGAAACATTTTATATATGTATATACACCCACAGTAAGTAAAATAACTTCATTAAATAATCCTCAGGGAAAAAAAAAGAGGAATCAGACAAATTAACCCAATATATTGGTTTTTGGGTGCTTTTTTTTTTTTTTAGATGGAGTCTCGCGCTCTGTCACCCAGGCTGGAGTGCAGCAGTGCGATCTCGGCTCACCGCAAGCTCCGCCTCCCGGATTCACACCATTCTCCTGCCTCAGCCTCCCGAGTAGCTGGGACCACAGGCTCCCGCCACCACGCCCAGCTAATGTTTTGTATTTTTAGTAGAGACGGGGTTTCACCATGTTAGCCAGGATGGTCTCGATCTCCTGACCTCGTGATCCGCCCACCTCAGCCTCCCAAAGTGCTGGGATTACAGGCCTGAGCCACCGCGCCTGGCCAACCCACCATATTTTTTTAAAAAACAGTCATCATTTTGCTTGAAAATACAATAGTTCCCCCTTATCCAAGAGGGATCCATTGAGACCTGCCAGTGGATGTGATGAAACCATGGAAAATACCAAACCTGATACAGACTATGTTTTGTCCTCATGCATAGCCACGGGTAAGTTTAACTTATAAACCAGGCACAAAGATCAATATCAGAAACATTATAACATACTGTAATACAAGTTATATGAATGTAGTCTCCTTTTCTCTCAAAATCTTAAGTGTACCGTCCTACAGGTAACTCAAACTGTGGATAAGGGGGGATGATGGCACAACAATCTCACCATTTGCCGATATTCCCGAATCATTTTTAGCTTGTCTTCTCCTCCCTTGTTTTCTTCTTTCTGTTCAATGCTGCTGATTATTCTCCAGGAGGCTCTTCTAGCTCCAATCACATTCTTATATGCAACAGATAGGAGGTTTCTTTCTTCAACTGTCAGCTCCACATCCATCCCTGCTACTTTCTTCATTGACTCCACCATTTCTGTATGGGAAAAGGAAAAGTCAGACCTTACAAATTTGAAGTTTTCTTAACATATTCCTTTCAAAGTAGTTTTTTTCTGTCAAGCTACTGCGAAAAAAACATTTTAACAAAAATAATTTCATAATCATCAAAACTAATATGAGTAAAAAGCCAAAAACATGTAAAGGAAACCAAACTAAGAGCCAATACAAAGACTCCAGAAGGTAGTTAGGTGGAGTGAGAAAGACTTCATATACTATCTAATATAATTTAGTGTGGTCTGAAAGCACCTCTCATTAAATAAGGTAATTAGGCACACCTAACTATTTTCCAGCAAAAAAAAATGAGCTGTCAGTTTAAGAGAAAGATTAAGAATTTACAGGTTCTAAAATGTATTGTCTCACAAATAAATAGTATTTCCAAAAATACAAAAGGAAGGGGAATTTGTTCATACAGCAAAAATATACGGAGTATATGGTTGGCCACCAACAGACTTTGGATGTTTTCTATCCTTCCTCGTATGAAGCTCCTTCATTGGTAAAACTTCTGATGATTCCTACTTGTTACCACTAGGTGGCGAGCAAAGAAAGGGGCCCAGAAAAGCCTTGGCATCTACCGCAAGCATAGGGAAACACAACGGCGTGTGAATGCAAAGCGCCACAAACAGCACAAGAAATAGTAACTGAATAAATACATTAATAAAAACTTATTTTTGATGCCATATTACCATGTGGCTCTCCAACATTACCCACGTTTCAATCTTTGGTGATGAGACTCAAGAATCTGCATTTTAGGGCCAGGAGTAAGTGGCTCATACCCCTAGCACTTTGAGAGCTGAGGCAGGAGAATCACTCGAGCTCAGGAGTTCGAGACCCTGTCTCTAAAAAATAAAAACAGAGGCTGGGCACAGTGGCTCATGCCTGTAAATCCCAGCACTTTGGCAGGCCGAGGTGGCACATCACCAGGTCAAGAGATAAAGACTATCCTGGCCAACATGGTGAAACACTGTCTCTACTAAAAATACAAAAATTAGCTGGGCGTGGTGATGCACGCCTGTAGTCCCAGGTACTCTAGAGACTGAGACAGGAGAATCGCTTGAACCCAGAAGGTGGAGATTGCAGTGAGCCAAGATCATGCCGCTGCACTCCAGCCCAGCAACAGAGACTCCACCTCAAAAAAAAAAAAATAGAATAAATAAAATAAAAATAAAAATAAAAATAGGCTGGATGTAGTGGCTCATGCATATAATCCCAGAACTGTGGGAGGCCAAGGTGGGCAGATCATTTGAGGTCACGAATTCAAGGCCAGCCTGGCCAACGTGGTGAAACGGTCTCTACTAAAAATACAAAAATTAGCTGCGTTTGGTGGTGCGCGCCTGTAATTACAGCTACTTGGGAAGCTGAGGCAGCAGAATTGCTTGAACCCAGGAGGCAGAGATTGCAACTGAGATCGCCCCACTGTATGCCACCTGGGGCAACAGAGCAGACTCCATCTCAAAAAAAACCAAAAGAAAGAATCTGCATTTAAATAAGCATCCTTAGCTTTCATTAACACCCTAAGCATAAGCATACCTTAACTAATAGGTATGAAAGAGATGGTGACTTCATAAAACACTACTAAATTGGACGGGCACGGTGGATCACACCTGTAATCTCAGCACTTTGGGAGGCCAAGGTGGGTGGATCGCCTGAGGTCAGGAGTTCGAGACCAGCCTGGCCAACATGGTGAAACCCGTCTCTACTAAAAATACAAAAATTAGCTGGGCATGGTGGTGCACGCTTGTAATCCCAGCTACCAGGAAGGCTGAGGCAGGAGAACTGCTTGAACCTGGGAGGCAGAGGTTGCAGTGAGCTGAGATTGCACCACTGCATTCCAGCCTGGGTGACAGAGTGAGACTCCGTTTCAAAAAAAAACACAAAACAAAAACCAAAACACTATTAAATTAAGGGGAGTGTGCCTAATGTATCCAGGAAAATATGTTTCAAAAATTAATCCTTTCGGGAATATAAAAAAAATTAAGCCATATTTTGTAAAGTCTCTTCGAAAAATATTCGGCAATGTTTTAATAAACATGTACCATATGACTCAGCAATCCCAATTCTATGCATCATCCAGAAGAAAAATAATCTTTACAAAGACTTTTACACACTCACTCACAGCAACTCTATTCATAATAGCCAAAAAGTGGAAACCCCTCAAATGTGCATCCAGAGGGGAAATGTATAAGCACACTGATGTTCACATATGTAAGATGGGATACCACTCAAAAATAAAGAATTAACTGTCCATGCACAGTGGCTCACATCTGTAATCCCAGCATTTGGGGAGGCCAAGACAGGAGGATTACTTGAGCCCAGTAGTTTGAGACCAACCTGGGCAACATGGTGAGACTCTGCCTCTACAAAAATTAGCTGGGTGTGGTGGTGTGTGCCTGCGGTCTCAACTACTCAGGAGATTAAGGCAAGAGAACTGCTTGACCCCAGGAATTCAGGCCTGCAGTGAGCTATTAGGTTGGTACAAAAGTAATTGCGCATTTTGCCAGCAAAAACCACAATTACTTTGTATAATCCTAACGCTGTACTCCAGCTTGGATGACAAAGCGAGAGACTCTGTGTCCAGAAAGAGAAGAGGAGACGGGAGGGGAGAAAAATAATTAACTGATACAAGCAACAATATGGAAGAATCTGAAAAACATCATATTAAGTGAAAAGAGTCAGATTAAAAGGATTTTATCATTCCATTTATATCAAATTGCAAAAAACACAAACTAAAAAGACAGAAAGCAAATGGTTATCAAGGTACAGAGGTGAACTGAGGGGCTTTTGTGCAAAGGACAGGTCACAGAATTGTACATGTAAAAGTGGCACGTTTAACTGTACACCTCAAGCTGATTTTTTAAATGCAATTCTGAACCATTAAAGAAGGATGACATGTTGGGTGCTGTGGCTCACACCTGTCATCTTAGCACTTTGGGAGGCTGAGGCAGGTGGATCACCTGAGGTCAGGAGTTCAAGACCAGCCTGGCCAACATGGTGACACCCCGTCTCTACTAAAAATATAAAAATTAGGCCAGGCACGGTGACTCACGCCTGTAATCCCAACACTTTGGGAGGCCGAGGCAGGCAGATCACCTGAGGTCGGGAGATCGAGACCAGCCTGACCAGCATGGAGAAACTAAAAATACAAAAAAATTTGCCAGACGTGGTGGCACATGCCTGTAATCCCAGCTACTCGAGGCTGAGGCGAGAGAATTGCTTGAACTCGGGAGGCGGAGGTTGCACTGAGTGGAGATCGCGCCACTGTACTCCAGTCTGGGCAACAAGAGCGAAACTCCATCTCAAAAAAAGGAAAAAAAAAGAAAAAGAAAAATACAAAAATTAGCCAGGCATGGTGGCAGGCATCTATAGTGCCAGCTACTCGGGAGGCTGAGGCAGGGGAATCGCTTGAACCCCGGAGACAGGGGTTGCACTGAGCTGAGATCGCGCCATTGCACTCCAGCCTAGGCGACAGAGTGAGACTCTGTCTCAAAAAAAAAAAAAAAAAAGTATTACAATATGGTAATAAGACCACTCATTAATTCATTTGTAGGAGTCTGAAAGCATTCATCTAAAACATGCCCAATTTTGTTTTCTAAACCAGTCACGAAACAGTCTAAATTTAGAAGCAGTGGAATAGGTAATCGTACCTCCATACTAGTTTAATTCTCAAAAATCAGCAAGTCAAACATAACTCAGAGGTAAGCCTGTAATTAAACTTTCTAAACTGATCGCAAAGTAAATCTTAAGTAACCCAGCTACACAAAAACAGTGCCATTAATTCTTTTAAGGCTTTACAATATTACATACAGAAAAACTATGCAGACATCAAATACTACCAAAAATTTAAGTTACATATCTCGAATATCATTCCTTATGATTTAATTTTGTTCAAATTTCTGTGCTTTACAAATTTTCAACAACGAAGACTTAGTATTTTTATAATGCAAAGAGAAATATATTTGTAACACTCAGTGATACTCTACTGTTCCAGATTCAAGCATAAATGCTTTCATTTTTACATATACACAAAACAATGCACAGACTGTGTGGTAAAATTATAGAAGCAACAATTATCCCTTTAATAATACCTTTATTTATATATAATTCCCCTACCTAACAATTCACCCATTTAAAGTGTACTATTCGGCCGGGAGCAGGGGCTCACCCCTGTAAACCTTGGGAGGCCGAGGTGGGTGGATCATGAGGTCAGGAGATCAAGAACAGCCTGGCCAACATAGTAAAACCCCGTCTCTACTAAAAATACAAAAATTAGCTGGGCATGGTGGCAGGCGCCTGTAGTCCCAGCTAACCAGGAGGCTGAAGCAAGAGATTTGCTTGAACCCGGGAGGCGGAGGTTGCAGTGACCCGAGATGGCTCCACTGCACTACAGCCTGGGTAACAGAGAGAGACTCCGTCTCCAAAAAATAAATAAACTGTACCATTCAATGGTTTTTAGTATATTCACAGAATTCTGCAATCATCATAATTTTAGATTTTCATCACTTCAAAAAGAAAAGCCCCAAACCCATTAACCATCAATTCCCATGTACCCGAACCCCAGCCCGGTCAACCACCAATCTATTTTCCGCCTCTACACACTTGTCTCTTATGCACATTTCAGGTGCGGGCATACCTTGGAAGATACTGCGGGTTCAGTTCCAGAGCACTGCAAAAAAAAATATTGCAATAAAGCAAGTCACATGAATTTTTGTGTTTCCCAGTGCATAGAAAAGTTATGTTTAAACTACACTGTAATCTATTAAGTGTACAACAGCATTATGTCTAAACTGTACATAATTTAAAAACACCTTATTGCTAATAAATGCTAATGCTCATCTGAGCCTTCAGCAAGTGATAATATTTTGCTGTTGGAAGGTTTTTGCCTTGATGTTGATGGCTACTGACTGCTTAGGGTGATGGCTGCTGAAGGCTGGAGTGGCCGTGGCAAGACAATGAAGTCTGCCATGTTGATGGGCTTTTCCTTTCCTGCATGATTTCTCTGTAGCATCTGACGCTGTTGGACAGCATTTACCCACAGAAAAACTTTTTTTTTTTTTTTTTTTTTTTTTTGAGACGGAGTCTCGCTCTGTCACCAGGCTGGAGTGCCTGGGCGTGATCTCGGCTCACTGCAAGCTCCGCCTCCCAGGTTCACGCCATTCTCCTGCCTCAGCCTCCCGAGTAGCTGGGACCACAGGCGCCCGTCACCATGCCCAGTGAATTTTTTTGTGTGTATTTTTAGTAGAGGCGGGGTTTCACCATGTTAGCCAGGACGGTCTCGATCTCCTGACCTTGTGATCCGCCCGCCTTGGCCTCCCAAAGTGCTGGGATTACAGGCGTGAGCCACCGCGACTGGCCAGAACAACTTTTTGTTTTTTGTTTTTGAGACAGTGTCTTGCTCTGTAGCCCAGGCAGTGGCACAATCTCGGCTCACTGCAGCCTCTGCCTCCAGGGTTCAAGCAATTCTCCTGCCTCAGCCTCCCAAGTAGCTGAGACTACAAGTGGGCGCCACCACGCCCGGCTAACTTTTCTATTTTTAGTAGAGACGGGGTTTCAGCATGTTGGTGAGGCTGGTCTTAAACTCCTGACCTCAGGTGATCTGCCTACCTGCTGTGTTAACAGGCATAAAAACAACATTGCAGGCTGGGAGCGGTGGCTCACGCCTAGTAATCCCAGCACTTTGGGAGGCCGAGGTGGGCAGATCACGAGGTCAGGAGATGGAGACCATCCTGGCTAACAAGGTGAAAACCTCGTCTCTACTAAAAGTGCAAAAAAAAATCAGCCGGGCATGGTGGCGGGCGCCTGTAGTCCCAGCTACTCAGGAGGCTGAGGCAGGAGAATGGTGTGAACCCGGGAGGCGGAGCTGCAGTGAGCTGAGATAGTGCCACTGCACTCCAGCCTGGGCGACACAGCGAGACTCCTTCTCAAAAAATAAAAAATCAAAAAACATTGCTCTCCTTACACAACTACATCAGAGCTCCAGGGTGACCAAGTACTGTGTGTGAGTGTGTGGTAGTGTGTGTGTGTTTTGAAACAGAGTCACACTCTGTCACCCAAGATGATACAGTGGCACCATCTCAGTTCACTACAGCCTCAACCTCCCCAGCTCAAGCGATCCTCCAACCTCAGCCTCCTGAGTAGCTGGGACTACAGGTGTACGCCATTACGCCCAGCTAATTTTTATTATTTTTTTGTAAAGACAGGGTTTTGCCATGTTCCTCAGGCTGGTCTTGAACTCTTGTGCTCATGTGACCCACCCATCTCGGCCTCCCAAAGTGCTGAAATTACAAATGTGCACCACTGCACCCAACCTCGGTGCATTTTCAATGTGCAGTAATACATTGAAGGGAATTTTTTTTTTTTCTGAGTACCAAGCTTCAACAGTGGGCTTAAGATATTCAGAAAACCATGCTGTAAACATAAGTGCTGTCTTACAGGCTTTGCTGTTCCATTTATAAACCAGGCAGAGTAAATTTAGCATGATTCTTAAAGAGGCCTCAAATTTTTCAAACAGTCAATGAGCACTGGTTTCAATTTAAATTCACCAGCTGCATTAGTCCCTAAGAAGCTGCATCAGCCTGTCCTATGGAGCTAGACACACTGACTTCTCTCTAGTTAAGTGAAGTCCTAGACAGCATTTTCTTCTAACACAAGGCTGTTTTGTCTACGCTGAAAATCTAAGTGGTGTGGTCACCATCAATAATGTTAGCTAAATCTGGATAATTTGCTGCAGCATCTACATCAGCACATGCTACTTGACCCTGTACTTTTTTTTTTTTTTTTTGAGACAGAATTTCACTTTGTCGCTCAGGCTGGAGTGCTGTCACAACGTCTCAGCTCACTGCAACCTCCGTCTCCTGGGCTGAAGCGATTCTCCTGCCTCAACTTCCCGAGTAGCTGGGATTACAGGCGTCTGCCACCACGCCCAGCTAATTTTTTGTATTTTTAGTACAGGCAGGGTTTCACCATGTTGGCCAGGCTGGTCTCAAACTCCTGACCTCGTGATCCGTCCGCCTCGGCCCCCCAAAGCGCTGGGATTACAGGCGTGAGCCACCGCGCTCAGCCGACCTTGTACTTTTTAAGTAATGGAGATGGCATCTTTCCTTAAACCTTACTAACCAACCTCTGCTAGGTTCCAGCTTTCTATCTGTAGCTTTCTCACCTCTCTCAGCTTTCTTAAATTTGAAGAGAGTTAGAGGGTTGGTCTGAATTAGGCTTTGGCTTAAGGGAATAGTATGGCAGGTTTGATCTTCTATTCAGACCACCAAAACTTTCTGTCAGCAAGAAGGCTGTTTTGCTTTCTCATCATTGCTGTGTTCACTGGACTAGCACTTTTTAATCTCCTTGAAGAACTTTTCCTTTGCATTCACAACTGTGGTGCAAGAGGCCCAGCTTTCAGACCGTGTCTCGGCTTTTAAGGTAGCCTTCCTGACTCAGCTTCATCATTTCTACCTTTTTATTTAAAGTGAGAGACTGGGACTCTTCCTTTCTCTTAAACACTTAGAAGCAATTGCAGGGTTGTTAATCGGCCTAATTTAAATATTGTTATGTTTCAGGTAATAGGTAAGCCTAACGGGAGGGAGAGAGACAGGGAGTCAGAACACAAACAAGAGCTCACGCCTGTAATCCCAATACTTTGGGAGGCCGAAGGCAGGAAGATCATGTGAGCCTAGGAGTTCAAGACCAGCCTGGGCAACAGGTGAGACCCTATCTCTACAAAAAATACAAAAACTAGCCAGGCATGGTGATGTGTGCCTGTCGTCCCAGCTTCTCAGGAGGCCGAGGCAGGAGGATTGCTGGAGCCTGGGAGGTCAAGGCTGCAGTGAGCATTCCTGCCTGGGTGACAGAGTGAGACCCTGTCTCCAAAAATTAATAGTAAAAGAACACAGGCCAGGCATGGTGGCTCACGCAGTAATCCCAGCACTTTGGGAGGCCAAGGCGGGCAGATCACATGAGGTCGGGAGTTCGAGACCACCTGACCAACATGGAGAAACCCTGTCTCTACTAAAAATACAAAAAAATTAGCCAGGCATGGGGGCGCGTGCCTGTAATCCCAGCTACTCGGGACGCTGAGGCAGGAGAATCGCTTGAACTCAGGAGGCGGAACTTGCGGTGAGCCAAGATGGCGCCCTTACACTCCAACCTAAGCAACAAGAGCGAAACTCAGTCTCAAAAAACAAGCAAAAAAAGGAATACACACATCTATCAATTAATTTCCCTCAGTTCACGGATCCCCAAAACAATTACAATAGTAACGTCAAAGATTACTGATCACAGATAACCACCATTAACATGTAATGAAAAGTTTGAGGCCGGGCGAGGTGGACTCACGCCTGTAATCCCAGCGCTTTGGGAGGCCAAGAAGGGTAGATCACAAGGTCAGGAGATGGAGACCATCCTGGCTAACACGGTGAAACCCCGTCTCTACTAAATATACAATAAAAAATTAGCCAGGCATGGTGGCGGGCGCCTGTAGTCCCAGCTACTCGGGAGGCTGAGGCAGGAGAATTGCGTGAACCCGGGAGGCGGAGCTTGTAGTGAGTAGAGATCGTGGCACTGCACTCCAGCCTGGGTGACAGAGTGAGACTTCATCTCAAAAAAAAAAAAGAAAAGTTTGAAATACTGCACAAGGTACCAAAATGTGAACAGAGACAAGAAGTGAGCACCTGCTGTTGGAAAATGGCACCAACAGACTTGCTCAAAGCGGGTTCCAGAAACCTTCCATTTGTTCTGTAAAAATGTAGTATCTGTGAAGCACAATCAAACAGGGTGTACCTACGAACAGAGCCATACAGTATGGAGCCTCCCATGACTGGCTTCTTTCCCAACACAACCTACCGTATGGAGTCGGCTGTGACTGGCTTCTTTCCCATAGCATGGTCTCAAGTTTCATGCCTAGTGTAGCATGCATCAGTACTTCACCTACTGTATGGATATACTATGCTTTAAAAATCCATTCATTAGGCCAGGTGCGGTGGCTCACGCCTACAATCCCAGCACTCTGGGAGGCAGGTGGATTACCTGAGGTCAGGAGTTCAGACCAGCCTGGCCAAAACATGGCAAAACCCCGTCTCTACTAAAAATACAAAAATTAGGCTGCCATGATGTCTAGGCGAATGTCTGTAATCCCAGCTACTCGGGAGGCTGAAGCAGGACAACTGCTTGAACACGGGAGGCGGAGGTTGCAGTGACCCGAGATCGTGCCACTGAACTCCAGCCTGGCAACAGAGCGAGACTTGGTCTCAGGAAAAAAAAAAAAAAATCCATTCGTTAGTTAATGAACATTTGGGTTGTTTCCATTTTTGGACTATTATAAACAATGCTGCTACGAACGTTCTTTAAGTTTTTGTATGAATAAATGCTTTCAGTTCACTTCAGTATACACCTAGAAGGAACTTCAGGATCACATGGTAACTAGCTTTTTGAGGAAGGACATCCCAAACTTTTCTACAGGAGCGGCACCGTTTTTACACTCCCACCAGCAACACAGGATTCTAATCTGGCCACGTCCTCAGGAACACTTGTTAGTTATTCTTTAAACTAGTCATCCTAGTGGGTGTGAAGCTGTATCTCTTTGTGGTTTTGATTTGCATTTCCTTGATAACTAATAGTGTTGAACACCTTTTCATGTGCTTATGAGCCTTTTGCGTATGTTCTCTGGAGAAATATCTATTCAAACACTTTGCCAAATATTTAATTATTTGTCTTTTCATTATTGGTATGTAGGAGTTGTTCATTTTTAAAACCCCACTGACTCCTCTTAATTCCCCCAACCCCCTCTGCATCCCTTAAGGTAGCAGATTAAGGAACAGAAGTAGCATTGAGTCAGGAGACACTTCTATTGCTTCAAGAGACAGGGTCTCACTACGTTGCCCTGACTGTATGTCGTGCAGTGGCTATTCACAGGCCCATGATCACAGCGCACTATGTAGCCTTAAACTCCTGGCCTCGAGTGATCCTCCCACCTCAGCCTCCCAAGTAACTGGGACTATAGGTGCACACTACCAAGCACATCACTCCTTCAAGAGTATGGAAAGTCAACTTCTCAATCTCTCCAAACATTCTACGACCAGTGCTTTGTACCAGTTTGTACAAATAACGACTACAATGACACTCTCTTCCAATATCACTGTCATCTTTATCCTTTTAACACCAGCAACAGAAACATAATACTAATGATAATGTACCCCAAAACTATATAAGAAAAGCTGATTTATCCAAAACTCTAGACTAACTACACCCTTCAGCCCTCCCTCAGTAGAGGATGAACTCCAACCATTATATTCACATAAAGGCCCTCAACACAACTAGCATTTCCTGAAATCACCTTTGCGGCAAGTATTTTATCAGTGGGATGTGGGCATTTCACGGGTGGGGGAAGGCTGTCATGTGTTTGCAGCAGGTGGGATCGCAATTTAAGAACCAAAAAACTGAAATGGTTGAAATCACTTCTTTTGGATCCACGGGCAGTTTTGCTACAGTAATTTTGAGTAACAAAATCGAATTTCTGGGACTTTTCATGGTTTGGGGACAAGGGTGGGTGATTAAAATCGCCACTCTGAAAAACATACTCCTCACAAGTTAATTAAACATAGTTAAGTCTCTTTAGTTCCAAGTAAGTTTCCCTTCATTGTATGGTAATAGCCTAGACACAGATCCACCACATGGAACCAGCTTGTGTCTGGGACACCCATCATCTGCTGCTGCCAGTAGAGTCACAAGTTTTTCCCCTTGACTTGTTAACTGAGGTTTGGTTTGTGGTTGTGTTCTTTCAACTATGTTGTTCATTCAACAGACTAATTCATAAATAAAACACCCCATTTCAACTATGTTGTTCATTCAACAGACTTATTCACAAATAAAACCCCCCATGCTAAAATAGGCACTGTTCCAAATGCTTCGCTGTATTAATGTGCTTAATCTTCTCAACAGACCTCTGAAGTGGGTACCAGTATTATCCCATTTTAGAATATCTCCATATACTGAAGAACACGAAGGTTAAACTTGTTCCAGATCACAAAGCCAGTGGACTACAACTCAGGGAATCTGACTTGAGTTGTGCTTTGATTTAATCATATTGCCTCAGATTTGAATATTTATTTGAATGCATCTGTACGAGGATCCTTTTGTTTGCTTCTGTGACAATAGAGGGGAAATAACTGGTTTCAGTGACTCTACCAGAGAAACAAGTTTCACATACTAAAATGTGGTTGAGACCCAGGCATGGTGGCGTCTGCCACCATGAGAGAAAGAACGAAGACAGAAAGACAGACAGAAAGACAAGAAAGACAGACAGACAGACAGAAAGAAAGAAAAAGAAAGAGAGAGAAAGAAAGAAAAGAAAAGAAGGAAAGAAGTTCACTCCTGCTTAAAACGCATTTCTTTTTCCACCTAGAGGTTCACCCCTCTCCCAAAAAAAGCTTACTTTATTCTTTTCTCTTAAAGAGACGGGAGTCTTTGTATGTTGCCCAGGCTGGTCTCCAACTCCTGGGCTCAAGCAATCCTCCCACCTCAGCCTCCTGAATACAAAAAGCTTAGTTTCATACCTCTAATATCTTTACATCAACATCCCAGTAAACCTGATTTTCCCAAGACTGTCCTTGCCAGGTAGTAAAACAAGTCTCTGCTGAGCTTCAACAGTTTCTGATAAACACAAAGTACAAAATCATAAAAGGAGCAGGTCTCCAACTATCAGGCTGACAAGTCACAAGGCACAATTTACAGCTCCTAATGAAATTCAGGGTCAGGAAAAAAGCAAACTGTTCAGAATCTGCCATGGGAAAAACGAGCAGGTTCTGTACTGGCTGACAGGATTAATGTTCCTCTTACCAAAGCACACAGGGTCATAACCCTAACTTTTTTTTTTTTTTTTGAGACAGAGTCTAGCTCTGTTGCCCAGGCTGAAGTGCAATCTCACTGCAACCTCCATCTCCCATGTTCAAGTGATGCTCTTGCCCCAGCCTCCCTGGTAGTTAGGACTACAGGTGCCCGCCAACGTGCACGGCTAATTTTTATATTTTTAGTAAAGACAGGGTTTCACCATGTTGGCCAGACTGGTTTCGAACTCCTGACCTCAGGTGATCCACCTGCCTCGGCCTCCCTAGGTGGTGGGATTACAGGCAGGGGTTACCACACCCGGCCCTAATCCTGATTTTAAGGGCAGAAAAATGAAGCTAAGAGTAATGTTCCTAAAGTCACACAATGGTAAAACCCAAACTCAAACCCAGACAATCTAACTTAAGAGTCTGAGCTTTTAGCCATCACACTTCAATGACTTTGCAACCAGAGTGCTCACAGAAACAAATTCCTTAGCCCAAGAACAGTAAAAGCAATCACACCAAGGGAAGAAAAGGGCACAGCATCAGGCACTGACATAAAAAGGTTCTGTCAGAACCGGAAATGTGGCTCACACCTGTAGTCAGTCCCAGCTACTCCAGAAGCTGAGACAGGAAGATCGCTTGAGCCCAGGAGTCCGAGGCCACAGTGAGCTATGATCATGCCACTGCACTCCACCCTGGGCAACAGAGCAAGACTCTGTCTCTCAAAAAGAAAGAGTTCAGTCACTTAGGTTCTGGAAAGGTCCTGAGCTTGCTTTATATAAAGGCTAATCAATTAGCCAATGACCTTTCCTTTTTCCTAGGAAACATCATCCCTCTGGATCAAACTCAAATGTCTTACTATGTAAAGACTTCCTGGCTGGAAGCAGTGGCTCATGCCTGTAATCCCAGCACTTTGGGAGGCCGAGGCAGGTGGATCACCTGAGGTCAGGAGTTCGAGACCAGCCTGGCCAACATGGTGAAACCCCGTCTCTACTAAAAATACAAAAATTAGCTGGGCATGGTGGCGGGTGCCTGTAATCCCAGCTACTCGGGAGGCTGAGGCAGGAGAATTGCTTGAACCCGAGAGGCGGAGGTTGCAGTGAGCCAAGATCGCGTCACTGCACTCCAGCCTGGGCAACAGAGGTGAGACTCCGTCTCAAAATAAAAGTCTCAAATTGTTTTTATGGTTTGGAGGGGATAGTATGCAAGTTTGTTGGAGAGAAACTTACAAGGTGCTACTTACTAAGAAATTTACCTTGCGGATATTTTCTTAAAAAGGAGTCATCACAGAAAATGTATGCCTAGATTTACATGTGAGAAGCAGTCTTCAATTGGATACTTCTGACCCCATGAAATAACTGAGGACATTTCTGCAGAAGGCTGACATATGAGAATGCTCAGGAATTGTGTGGCTTTCAAATAATCTGATTCAGCTTGGACAACCTCCAAGGAATGAATAAAATTAGGCAAAAGCTTGACAATCACTAAACATAGTCAATTCACAGATAATTCATGACAATCAACATTCTGCCTTACTGATTTCTAAAAGGTCCCAATATCTTGCTAGTCACATGACAACTCTCTTGTTACTATTCAGAAATATAAAGATGGAGCAAAATTTTTTCTAAAACGATTATCACGCACCTTCTCTATCACACTGACAAATAATCTGGGAAGCATCAGTTCTGTACTAAAAAGCATGTCTAAAAAGCCTGACTCAGACCATTTCAGGAGCAATACTACTCGTTTACTATAAAAGAAATTCAGTACAGGCCAGGCACGGCGGCTCACGCCTGTAATCCCAGCACTTTGAGAGGCCAAGGCGGGTGGATCACCTGAGGTTAGGAGTTCAGGACCGGCCTTGGCCAACATGGTGAAATCCCGTCTCTACTAAAAATACCAAAAATTAGTTGGGCATGGTGGCACACACCTGTGATCCCAGCTACTCGGGAGGCTGAGGCAGGAGAATCGCTTGAACCTGGGAGGCGAAGGAAGTTGCAATGAGCAAAGGTCATGCCATTGCATTCCAGCCTGGCGACAAGAGCAAAACTCTGTCTCAAAAAAAAAAAAAAAGAAATTCAGTATGATCCCCAAGAAAGTTACAAAACATTCTCAGATGGCTAACCTGAATTATACTGGTTTTTAAACATTAAATCTCTGCCCAAATTTGGCAATTTTAATTTTATCATAATTAATTCAGCTGCTTGAAGCCTGCTTAAAGTTTGCGATGTCATCACTTTAAGGTTGACTATACTCATGTCAGTGTACTTCCAAATCACCTAAGAGCCCTATGGGATGTTAAGACACACTTCAGATTTTACATGGCCTCACGCCTGTAATCCCAACACTTTGGGAGGATGAAGCGGGCAGGCTGCTTGAGCTGAGGAGTCTAAGCCCAGTCTGGGGAGCACGGCAAAACTCCATCTCTACTAAAATATAAAAAATTAGCCGGGCGTGGTGGCACACACCTATAGTCCCAGCTACTCTGGAGGCTGAGGTGGGTGGATCAACTGAGCCCAGGAAGTCAAGGCTGCAATGAGCTGTGATCACGCCACTGCACTCCAGCCTGGGCAAAGAAAGCAAGACTCTGCCTCAAAAGAAGATTTCATACATGCAAAACTTCTAATTCGAATGACGAAAAAAACTATCAACTACACTAATTCTAATAGTAAATAACATGGAAAGAATCTAAGAATGTAACAAAATGTCAAATCTGTAGCTTGAGGAGTCTTAAATCATATTTTCTTAGAAAAACAAAATGCAAGAATAGTGATCACTAGTTCTACTCAATTAAGATGAGCAAAAGGCTGGGATGTACCCTGGAGCGTGTTACGATGAGTTATGAAGGAAGGAGTACTTGAGGTAAACAGTTGGACAAGATTTAGGAAACACTCCTGGAACTTGTTTTAATTTAAGCAAAGATTTAAAATTGTGTAAAATGAACAGGATTAGTTGGTTGACATGTAAATTATACTTTGTGTTCAGTACGGTGAAAGAACCAGAATGCTGTAAACAGAAAATAATGGAAGTACTCAGAAGCTTTTCTGAAGAGGCCCTATTCTAGTCTACTAACTTTGACTATTATTGTAGTACCCACATACCACGTGCACTTTTATTAGACAAAAATGACACACACTTTGGGAAACAGCACAGGAAAGTCCCACCACAGCACAGCAAACACCACACTTACAGCAAAGAGTTTCAGACTAGAAGACTAGACTTTTTTTTTTTTTTTTTTTTGAGACGGAGCCTCACTCTGTCGCCCAGGCTGGAGTGCACTGGCACGATCTCGGCTCACTGCAACCTCCGCCTCCCGGGTTCAAGAGTCTCCTGCCTCAGCCTCCGAAGTAGCTGGGATTACAGGCGCACACTACCATGCCCAGCTAAATTTTGTATTTTTAGTAAAGGTGAGGTTTCACGATGTTGACCAGGATGGTCTCGAACTCGTGACCTCAGGTGATCTGCCTGCCTCAGCCTTCCAAAGTGCGTGAGCCACCGCGCCCAGCCCAGACTAGATTTTCATTCCTGCTTATTCATATGCTATTTGACCTCAAGTATGCCACATAATCTCTAGGAGCTTGTTCCTCATCCATAACATGGAGGATATCCAGCCCTGAGTTATGAGAGTTTAAAATGAGATTGTAGAGTAAATTGTCTGGCATATAATATGAATTCAATTAAATGTTTAATTTCTTTTCTTCGCCTCACTTCCAAGATTAAATAACAAAAAAACAAAACCGGAATCCAGACGGGTGGGGGTGTTAATGTGCCTGATGTAGGAAAGAGCTAAATAAAGAACACAGCGTTTAGAATCTAAGTCTAATAAAGCCTTTTGCAGAATACAGCTCCATTTTTTCTAACCCAGACTTTCCATTCTTACATCTCATATATTTAATCCCATATCTGTGCTTTTGGTAACATATCCAAAGAACCTCACTCTCCCAACATCCAAATCTTATCCCCCAATTAATGTCTCACCTACTATTCAAGTTTTCCCCGACAACTGCAGCACACAATCCCTTGTTCCCCTTCTCTACAATTCCTGTATTATACAAGCTAGAAATCATCATTCTGGTTTCTAGCCACAGCTTGCCTGATTAGACTGTAACTCTTCCATAGTAGGTATTATAAGTAACGATTTTATTACTCACAAGGGGAAAGTTGTTCCCCATACATGCTAAAGAAATACATATTGATTAAATGGTCCAAGAGGCTGGGCGCAGTGGCTCACGTCTGTAATCCCAGAACTTCGGGAGGCTAACAATCACTTGAGGTCAGGAGTTACAGACTGGCCTGGCCAACATGGCGAAACCCCACCTCCACTAAAAATACAAAAATTAGTCCGGGTGTGGTGGGATTACGCCTGTAATCCCAGCACTTTTGGAGGCTGAGGCGGGTGACTCACCTGAGGTCAGGAGTTCGAGACCAGCCTGACCAACATGGAGAAACCCCGACTCTACTAAAAACACAAAAAATTAGCCAGGCGTGGTGGCTGTAATCCCAGCTACTCAGGAGGCTGAAGCACGAGCATCCCTTGAACCCGGGAGGTGGAGGTTGCAGTGAGCTGAGATTGTGTCACTGCACTCCAGCATGGGCAACAGGACAAGACTCATCTCCAAATAAATCAATAAACTCAAAAAAATAAGTAAATAAAACACGAAAGGCTCAAGAATGCATGTAAAGGGGGGAGGGGAATTTCAAACTATCAACTAATCAAAACGTAACATAAATGCACTGAGGAAGGCCGAGCGCAAAGGCTCAGGCCTGTAATCCCAGCACTTTGGGAGGCCAACGCGGGTGGATCGCTTCAACTCAGGAGTTCAAGACCAGCCTAGGAGACATGGCGAAACCCTGTCTCTACAAAAAAATACAAAAATTGGCCAGGCCTGGTGGTGCATGCCTGCAGTCCCAGGCATAGGACTGAGGTGGGAGGATCACTGGAACGTGAGAGGTCAAGGCTGCAGTGAGCCCAGACTGGCCCACTGTACTCCAGCCTGCACGAGAGAGCGACACTATGTCAAAAAAAAAAAAAAAAAAAAAAAGACAGGCAGACAGAAAAGGAAAAAAAAACACAGATATATAGGCACTGGAGCAAAGAAAAAGTTATTAAAGGAGACTCAAACCACTGACAAGTTACTTGCGGCATAAGTAGTAGTTTTTTTGTTTGTTTGTTTTGAGATGGAGTCTCGCTCTGTCACCCAGGCTGGAGTGCAGTGGCGCAATCTCGGCTCACGGCAACCTCCGCCTCCCGGGTTCACGCCATTCTCCTGCCTCAGCCTCCCATGTAACTGGGACTTCAGGCGCCCACCACCATGCCCGGCAAATTTTTTGTATTTTTAGTAGAGATGGGGTTTCACCGTGTTAGCCAGGATGGTCTCGATCTCCTGACCTCATGATCTGCCCGCCTCGGCCTCCCAAAGTGCTGGGATTACAGGCTTGAGCCACCGCGCCCGGCCTTTTTTTTTTTTTTGAGATGGAGTCTCACTCTGTTGACCAGGCTACAGTGCAGCAGCGCAATCTCAGCTCACTGCAAGCTCTACCGGCAAGCTCCGCCTCCCGGGTTCTGGCCATTCTCCTGCTTCAGCCTCCCAAGTAGCTGGGACTACAGGCGCCCACCACCAGGCCAGGCTAATTTTTTTTTTGTATCTTTAGTAGAGACGGGGTTTCACTATGTTAGCCAGGATGATCTCAATCTCCTGACCCTGTGATCCACCCGCCTCGGCCTCCCAAAGTGCTAGGATTACAGGCGTGAGCCACCACGCCTGGCCAGTAGTTTTCATTATTTACTTGATATGGCTGTACTGCTGACTTTACATTTAAATTCATCTTTTGCAGTAAGAAATGAAAAACAGGCCAGGTGCGGTGGCTCATACCTGTATTCCCAGCAATTTGAGAGGCTGAGGCCAGCGGATCACTTGAGGTCAGGAGATCGAGACCAGCCTGGCCAACCTGGCGAAACCCCATCTCTACTAATAATACAAAAATTATCCAGGTGTGTTGGCATATGACTGTAATTCCAGCTACTTGGGAGGCTGGGGAAGGAGAATTGCTTGAACCTGGGAGGCTGAGGTTGCAGTGAGCTGACCTCATGCCACTGCACTCCAGCCCAGGTGACAAAGCAAGATTCCGTCTCAAGAAAGAAAAAAAAAAAAAAGGCAAAACAAAAGTGGAAAAACTGGCTGGTCGTGGTGGCTCACGCCTGTAATCCCAGCACTTTGGGAGGCCGAGGCACATGGATCACCTGAGGTCGAGAGTTCGAGACCAGCCTGACCAACATAGAGAAACCCCATCTCTACTAAAAATACAAAATTAGACAGGCATGGTGGCGCATGCCTGTAATCCCAGCTACTCTGGGGGCTGAGGCAGGAGAATTGCTTGATCCTGGGAGGACGAGGTTTCCGCGAGCTGAGATCGCGCGATTGCACTCCAGCCTGGGCAACAAGAGCGAAACTCCGTTTAAAAAAAGAAATGGAAAAACTATTTCACATACTGTTTAACTTTTTTTTTTTTTTTTGAGACGGAGTCTTGGTCTGTTGCCCCGGCTGGAGTGCAGTGGCACAATTTCAGCTCCTGGCAACCTCTACCTCCCGGGTTCAAGCAATTCTCCTGTCTCAGCCCCTACCAGAAGATGGGATTACAGGCACGTGCCACCACGCCCGGCAAGTTTTTGTATTTTTAGTAGAGATGGGTTTCGCCATGTTGGCCAGGCTGGTCTTGAACTCCTGACCTCAGGTGATCCACCCGCCTCGGCCTCCCAAAGTACTAGGATTACAGGTGTGAGCCACTGCACCCGGCCCTTGTTTAAACAATTTTTTAAAACACAAGTTTTTAGTTAAATTTTGTGCTGCACAATCGTAAGTTGCTAGTATTATAAACAGTTAATAAACCTTTTCAGAAAATAGAGTATTCCCGCAATCTCCGCACTTTGGGAGGCTGAGGTGGGAAGATTTCCTGAGCCCAAGAGTTCAAGACCGGCCTGGGCAATATGGCAAGACCCCATCTCTTCACACATTTAAAAAATTAGCCGAAGAGGGCTGGGCACAGTGGCTCACGCCTGTAATTCAAGCACTTTGGGAGGCCGAGGCACGTGGATCACAAGGTCAAGAGTTCAAGACCAACCTGGCCAACATGGTGAAACCCCATTTCTACTAAAAATACAAAACAATTAGCCACGCGTTAAGCAGGTGCCTGTAATCCCAGCCACTCGGGAAGATGAGGCAGAGAACTGCTTGAACCCAGGAGGCGAAAGCTGCAGTGAGCCAAGATCCAGCCACTGCTCTCCAGCATGGGAGAAAGAGCAAGACCCTGTCTCAAAAAAATAAAAATAAAAAATAAATTAGCCAGGCATGGTGGGCACACCTGTAGTCCCAGCTACCCAGGACGCAGAGGTGGGAGGATTGCTTGAGCCCAGGAGGTGAGGGCTGCAGTGAGGTGTGTCTGCTACTGCACACCAGCTTGGGCAAGAGTGAGACCACATCTCAAAACATTAAGAGTACACATGTAAAAAGATTTATGCTCGACCGGGCGCGGTGGCTCACGCCTGTAATCCCAGCACTTTGGGAGGCCAAGGCGGGCAGATCACAACGTCAGGAGATCAAGACCATCCTGGCTAACACGGTGAAACCCTGTCTCTACTAAAAATACAAAAAAAATTAGCCAGGCATGGTGGCAGGCACCTGTACTCCCAGCTACTCAGGAGGCTGAGGCAGGATAATGGAGTGTATTTTGTATTTTGAGGGTTTCACCAGGCTGGTCTTGAACTCCTGACATTATGATCCATCCGCTTCAGCCTCCCAAAGTGCTGGGATTAAAGGAGTGAGCCACTGCGCCCAGCCCAGAGTTTTTCTCTTGTTGCTCAGGCTGGAGTGCAATGGCGCTATCTCGGCTCACTGCAACCTCCGCCTCCCGGGTTCAAGAGATTCTCCTGCCTCCGCCTCCTGGGAGTAGCTGGGATTAGAGGCATGCGCCACGAAGCCTGGCTAATTTTTTTTTGTATTTTTAGTAGAGACGGGTTTCTCCATGTTGGTCAGGCTGGTCCTGAACTCCCAACCACAGATGATCTGCCTGCCTTGGCCTCCCAAAGAAATTTTTTTTAAAATCAGTTTCAGGTTTGTTTTTTCTTTTTAGAGGAGTCTCCCTATGTTGCCCTGGCTGCCTTGCAGTGGCTATTCACAGGCATGACCATAACACTCCTTGGCTGAAGCTCACCCTCTACTGCACTCCACCCTGGGTGACAGGGAAAGACTCTGTCTCAAAAAAAAAAAAAAAAAAAGTAAAGATAAAATGAATACAGAAATGTTGGCAGCATTCTGAAACCAGAAAAGTTAAAGGTTAAGAAAAAATCTGCAGCAATAAGATAAAGGCATTAAGACCATGTTAATGATGTGCAGTTATTCATTGTTGAGAAGATGAAAATCTACCAGCAACTGGTCTAGAGGAAAACACCAAGGTCCCCTGTGATCAGTCCCCCAGGCCTCCCAACTACATGCCTCAAAAGTCATCTACTGAAAAGGTACACAACGAAAAAGTACACCATACTGCAATTTACTAAGTTCCCAGAGCTTCTTATCCAGCCATTTATAAAGCTCTAGTCCCAAATATCAGTGGTCCCCAACCTTTGTGGCACCAGGGACCAGTTTCGTGGAAGACAATTTTTCCACAGACCAGTATGGGTGCATGGCCTGGGCACTGGGGACCCCTGCATGTATCAAAGAGTTAAAAACAAAGTAGGTTTTTCAGAGGGTGGGGGAGGAGGGAAGGAAGGAAGACGGAGGATGCAGGTGGCCTGCTCCTGAATTTAATGGCTCCTATCCCAATACTAGTTCCATTACCTGTTACCTGCAAAATATACTCAGCCTACATTCCATTCTGTCTTCTTCATACATTAAAGACAACACTATTCAGAGAGAAGCTGAGCCAAAAGACTGCTATAATCCCAGCACTTTAGGAGGCCAAGGCAGGAGGACTTCTTGAGCCCAGCTGAAAGACCAGCCTGGGCAACACAGAGACCCCCAGTCTCCACAAAAAAGGGGGAAAAAAAGAAAAGAAAGCCTCAAGCAGTCTGGACTGACGTTTACACACAAGAAACTCCTTCCGAAGTGGAAGGAGTACCAGCTTTGCAGGGCACCAGCCTTGGCAGAATACCAGTGACATTTCAAATGTGTTGTCACTTTTCCTCAAGTACTGGATCCTTATCTGTAAAATGGGTAGTACTTTGCATGGCTGTTTGGATAACAAGTGAAAGAAATAGCCAATAAACAGTAGATGATATTATTATTACAGGGTTTCATCACAATGAAACACTTTAAAGAGGTTTTTCAATTTGTTAGTACCATTTTACACCAGTAGTCAGTGAAGAAACACTGAGCTTTCTACAGTCTTTAACATGGGACACCCAGCAACTGATACAGTACCCTGCATATACCAGACACCATTGGTGCTAATTAATTTAAACTAACTCTTAATTACACATAGGAACAGAGTAACTCCGAAAGCAATCATACATTCACTAGAATATAAAGTCCTTGAAAAGATCTTTTGTCTATTTTGTTCACTGATGAATCCCAAGTGTCTAAAGTGTCTAGAACAGTGCCTGGTACATAGTCGGCATTCAGTAAGTATTTGTCAAATGAGTTTGGGAACTTGTTTTTTAGTACTTTAATACTTTGATTAAGGCTTTTCAAAAGACAATAATCTTGACACTCAAGGACAACTTTTACTCTTCATATACCAGCCTATACAGAGGTACCTCTCCTCACTCTAAAAGTAACTACATGAGCCAGGCACGGTGGCTCACGCCTATAATCCCAGCTCTCTGGGAGGCCAAGGCAGGCGGATCACCTGAGGCCAGAAGTTTGAGACCAGCCTGGCCAACACGGTGAAACACCCGTCTCTACTGAAGAAAAAACAAAAATTAGCCAGGCATGGTGGCAGGTGCCTGTAATCCCAGCTACTCAGGAGGCTGAGGCAGGAGAATCACTTGAACCAAGGAGGTGGAGGCTGCAGTGAGCCAAGATCGCGCCATTGCACTCCAGTCTGGGCAACAGAGTGAGACTCCGTCTCAAAAGGAAAAAAAAAAAAAAGAGGAAAACATGAATTGTGTAACCTTCTATGAAACTTTAAGACTCCTTTCCAAATCAGCTTTTGCTAGGTTAAAAAGAAACAAAAACAAGACAATCTTTTACCAAGATTCTACAATTTTGACTGCAAAAGCTACTTTTCCCTTTGGTCTCAATATTTAGGGCAGGGTTGTGCTCACTTTGGCAGCACATGTACTAAAGTTGGAATGACACAAAGATTAAAAAACAAAAATAAAAATATTGGGGGTGGGGGAGTAATCCCCTGCTCCATCAGAATGGGAGATTTCTCCTCTCAATTTACGAGGATACTCCCTCATAAACACGTTCGGCTGCAGTAGAACCAAACAGGTGAAGCTCCAGTGAAACCTGAGGTGGAAAATAAGAGGCTGGGGAGATCAATGACCTAAAACACTAAGTACAGGAAAAACAGGTAGATCAAAGTCTGAATCTTTTTACAGTTTTTATGGAATTAGAAAAGACACTGAAACAAAAAATACTTTAAAATTCTGTTTTGGAATACTAAGGAAGAAAATGACCACAAATAACCCTTGGGTCCAATTCGGTTTAGTAGAAGGATTAACTTTACATTCAGATTTTTAAGAAGTTTGACATGTTTTCTCAAGTGGTTGAGAGTGTTAAGCATTTCTTTGCGGGGGTGGGGGCAGTAGGCGGGGATGGAGTCTTACTGTTTCCCAGGCTGGAGTGCAGTGCCACAATCTCGGCATTCTGCAGCTTTCTACCTCCCGAGTTCAAGCGATTCTGCTGCCTCAGCCTCCCGAATAGCTGAGATTACAAGCGCACGCCACCACGCCCGTCTAATTTTTTGTATATTTAGTAGAGACGGGGGGTCTCACCATGTTCACCAGCCTGATCCTGAACTCCTGACCTCAGGTGATCCACCCTTCTTGGCCTCCCAAAGTGCTGGGATTACAGGAGTGAGCCACTGCACCTGGCTTTTTTTTTTTTTTTTTTTTTGACGGAGTCTCACTCTGTCGTTCAGGCTGGAGCCCAGGGGCACTATCTCGGCTCACTGCAACCTTTGCCTCCCGGGTTCAAGTGATTCTCCTGCCTTAACCTCCTGAGTAGCTGGGATTACAGGCACGTGCCACCACCACGCCTGGGTAATTTTTGTTTTTTTTTTTGGTTGGTTTTTTTTTTTTTTTTTTTTTTTTAGTAGAGACGAGGTTTCACCCTGTTGGTCAGGCTTGTCTCGAACTCCTGACCTCGTGATCTGCCCTCCTCGGCCTCCCAAAGTGCTAGGATTGGCCAGGCGCTGTGGCTCACGCCTGTAATCCCAGCACTTTGGGAGGCTGAGTTGGGCGGATCGTGAGATCAGGAGATCAAGACCATCCTGGCTAACACGGTGAAACCCCGTCTCTACTAAAAATACAAAAAATGAGCCGGGCGTGGTGGCAGGCGCCTGTAGTACCAGCTACTCCGGAGGCTGAGGCAGGAGAATGGAGTGAACCCAGGAGGTGGAGCTTGCAGTGAGCCAAGATGCAAGTGGAGCGCCACTGCACTCCAGCCTGGGCAACAGAGCAAGACTCTGTCTCAAAAAAAAAAAAAGTGCTAGGATTACAGGCATGAGCAAACCATGCCCAGCCTTTTTTTTTTTTTTTTTAATAGAAACGGAGTCTTGCAATGTTGCCCAGGCTGGTCTCAAACTCCTGGCCTCAAATGACCTCCCACCTTGGCCTCCAAAAGCAATGAGATTACAGGTATGTCAATTCTTTGATGAGCTAAGAAACCCCCATCAAAATTTCAACACTTTAATATTTTAATGTTTCCTAAGTAGTATATTCTGCATTAAGTATTTCATACTCATGAATGTGTTTCTAAAAATCTACAAAAACTGTCATAACTGTCATACAACAGTGACAATATTTTCTGGTCAAATAACGTTCTTGAAAATTTCACGGTAATCCTATCATAAATCTTAACTATTTTACAAGTAAACCTATTACAATCAAATACAAGTCATTAATCCCACTAAATCTTTCTCCTTTCCTTTTTGAGACAGGGTCTCACTATGTCACCCAGGTGGGAGTGCAGTGGTCTTATCATGGCTCACTGCAGCCTCGACCTCCCGGGCTCAAGAAATCTTACCACCTTGGCCTCCCAAGTAGCTGAGACTACAGACACATGCCACTAGGTCAAGCTAATTCTGTTTCTTTTTGTAGAAACAGGGTCTCACTATGTTGCCCAGGCTGGTCTCAAACTTTTGGGCTTAAGGGATCTTCCCGCCTCTGCCTTCCAAAGTATTGGAATTACAGGGATTATTAGCCACTGCACGTGGCCCCTACTAACATTTAAACACTTAAATTTCAACATAAAGGTGTTCACAACAACCACTCCAAGGTCCTACAAAGTCTTCAGCTGACTAACCCAGGGATTAAGTAGTATTTAGTAGCTTTTTATTAATCAAAACCCATTCACTGTCCAAGGCTTATATTATGCCTTTAGAATCACATTTCACAAAATTGGTCATAGCTAACACCATTTTTCTTAAGTAATCTGAGATGGCTAAAATGCGAACATTTAACAATGATTTACGTTTTCTTTCTTTTTTTTTTTTTTTGAGATGGAGTCTCGCTCTGTTGCCCAGGCTGGAGTGCAGTGGCGCGATCCTGGCTCACTGCAAGCTCCGCCTCCCGGGTTCATGCCATTCTCCTGCCTCAGCCTCCTGAGCAGCTGGGACTACAGGCGCCCGCTACCACGCCCAGCTAATTTTTTGTATTTTTAGTAGAGACAGGGTTTCACTGTGTTAGCCAGGATGGTCTCAATCTGCTGACCTCGTAGTCCGCCCGCCTCGGCCTCCCAAAGTCCTGGGATTACAGCCGTGAGCCACCGTACCTGGCCAATTATTTACATTTTCTTTCTTTCTTTTTTTGAGACAGAGTTTTGCTCTTGTCGCCCAGGCTGGAGTGCAATGGTACAATCTCGGCTCACTGCAACCTCCGCCTCCCAGGTTCAAGCAAACCTCCTGCCTCAGCCTCCCGAGGAGCTGGGATTACAAGCGCCTGCCACCACTTCAAGCTAATTTTGTATTTTTTAGTATAGATGGGATTTCTCCATGTTGGTCAGGCTGGTCTTGAACTCCCGACCTCAGGTGATCCGCCCAACTTGGCCTCCCAAAGTGCTGGGATTACAGGTGTGAGCCACTGCACCCAGCCTACATTTTCATATTACAGCAGCTTTCATCCCAAATTCAGACAAAAGGTGTTACGTTTGCTAAGGAGAAAGTCTCTTATTAATCTAAAATTAATATCAAAACAACTATATACCAGCTCAACATGACAAAATTATTATTTGGGAATAATCTGGACGACCTTTACTTTGGATATGCAAATTTACAGATGTAAGATTAAGGATTTTGAGAATATTTCTTTGTGCATATCTTACATAAGGACTAAGCCCAGAAGACTACACTTGCTAAGAATAACTCAAAAAGGTAGGTTATCATCTAATATGATCCTAGCACAGCAGTAACAAAAACAATTATCTGACCTTTCACATTAGATAAGAATGTTTCACAACAAATAGTACCGACAAGTATTACACTTTACAGTTTACAAAAGCCCAAAATTTCATAACCACCCTGCAAATTAGTAGGCAAGAGAGACATCACTAATCCCCATTTGAAAGATAAGGAACCCAGTGATTCCTGTGCATTCTGTGATGGCAGATTTACCACATCTGCCAAATGATGAAATACTGTCATAACTCTTACAGTAATGCATCTCCTTCAAACTTTAGATATGAATGAAGAGTTAAACACATTTCATATTGCTTTAGCTCGATAAAATCCTGATCTGATCACAAATCAAGCCCACCAACAACAGATCCGTCCAGCTACTATGGTAGATTGTTGGAAGGGCAATAAATTCAAGATAAAAATTTCAGAAGAGATAAGCCAGGATCATGGTCATATGGTCTGAACTACACAGTTTGGCATTCTAAACATAACAGTTGTAACAAGATATGGGTGAGCCTTTAAATTTTTATGTGGGTATTTGGTATGAAAGACACTTGTAAAAATAAAAAAATAAAATGTATGTAGGGAAAGCTCTGAGCTTAGGACACTGCTACCAACACCTAGGTCTATTATATTTTTAAACACAGAACTGGCTCAAGGTAGCCATAAGAAAACCAACACACTAGGTGTTGACACCATCAGAGGATTTGGAATGCCAGCAAGCTCTATTTTCAGCAACTACCACATCCTTAACTAGCACGTTCCCATTTGTGGGGGAGGGAGCTAGGAGGAGGAAATTTTCACTTTTCCTTTGACTTATATTCTGCCAAAGGCTAACTTCATTTGAAAAAAAAAAATTCAACCTCCTAGAGACGTAGATCTAAGCTATCTCTGTGATAAAAAGCTGGACAACGTTTAGGAAACTGTTGTATGAGTCTAAATGACAAAATCTAGTAACAAATGGCCATTAAGTAGGGTGACCACAAGGCAAGTTTGTTGCCCAGGACAATCCCAGTTTATGCCTGCTGTTGTAGCTGATGAATTAGTCTGTCTTTTCAAGATATACTCATGTGGATGTTAAATTATGGTGACTTTCATTATTATTTGCTACAATTTAATAAATTTAAATGAACATCTGAAATTGTTCTTAGGGCCATGACTAGCATTAACATTTAGTCAGAGAACCATGAGGTTCTGTTGGCAACCAATTCGTCAATTTGGATATATCAATACCTAAATATATCAAGCTGGCCGGGCGCAGTGGTTCATGCCTATAATCCCTGCACTTTGGGGAGGCCACAGTGGGAGGATCGCTTGAACCCAGGAGTTACCTGGACAACACAGTGGGATCCCGTCTCCACAAAAAAAAAGTTTTAATTAGCTGGTCATGGCGGTACCAGCTACCTGGTGGGAAGATCACATGAGCTCAGGAGTTCAACATCAGCCTGGGCAATCCGCTGGGACCAGGCCTCTACCAAAAAAATTTTTTTGCCAGCCATGGTGGCTCACGCCTGTAATCGCAAAACTTTGGGAGGCCGAGGCAGGTGAATCTTGAGCTCGAGTTCAAGACCTGGGCAACATGGTAAAATCCTGTCTCTACAAAAATTAGCCAGAAGTGGTGGTATACTTCTGTAGCCCCAGCTACTTGGCATGCTGAGGTGCCCAGGGGGTCAAAGCTGCAGTGAGCCATAAATGTGACACTGCATCCCAGCCTGAGTAATATACTGAGATCTTGTCTCGGGAAAAAAGAAAAAGAAAAAGAAAAAAAAGTTCTTTTAAATTATCCAGGTATTGTGGTGCACAGCTGTGGGCCCAGCTAAGTGGGAGGCTGAGATGGGATGATCATTTGGGCCTGGGAGGTTGAGGATGCAGTGAATCGTTACTGCATCAATGCAATCCAAGCCTGGCCAACAAAGCAAGACCTTGTCTCAAAAAAGTATATGTATCTATCTCAAACTGTTAACTGACCATTTCAAAAATAGTGAAAATAGCCATTTTTCTTGCTGCTCTTTCCTACTCCTTAATGGATTCCATTAGACAGCTATCTAGCCAACCACCCGGAACAACACTGGTGAATCATATGCCAACCTTTGTCCCTCCTAGAAGTTGTATGTCTATATCTGGCCGGGTGCGGTGGCTCACACCTATAATCCCAGCATTTTGGGAGGCTGAGGCAGGCGGACTACCTGAGGTCAGGAGTTGAAGACCAGCCTGGCTAATATGGTGAAACTCTGTCTCTACTAAAAATACAAAAATTAGCCAAGCATGATGGCCCAAGTCTGTAGTCTCAGCTACTCGGGAGGCTGAGGCAGGAGAATCACTTGAGCCCAGGAGGCGGAGGCTGCAGTGAGCCAAGATCACGCCACTGCACTCCAGCCTGAATGACAAGAGGGAAAATCCATCTCAAAAAAAAAAAAAAGTTGTATGACTACATCACTAACCTAACAACTTAATAGCATTCACTAAGACAAAGGTGGCCGGGGGTGGTGGCTCACGCCTATAATCCCAGCACTTTGGGAGGCCAAGTCTGACAGATTGCTTGAGTCCAGGAATTCCAAGACCAGCCTGGGCAACATGGTGAAACCCCATCTCTACTAAAACACAAAAGAAATTAGCTGGGAGTGGTGGATCGCGCCACTGTACTCCAGCACTCCAGCCTGGGTGACAGAGCAAGACTCCATCTCTCCAAAAAATAAATAAATAAATAAATAAATAAATAAATAAATAAAATTTAAAAACATACAAACAAACAAAAAAAACAGCTACTTAAGAGGCTGAGGTGGGGGGATCACCTGAGACTGGAAGGTAGAGGCTGCAGTGAGCCAAGATCGCACCACTGCACTACAGCCTGGGTGACCAAGTGAGACCCTGTCTCAAAAAAAAAAAAAGGAAAAAGATAAAAGTGAGAGGAGAAAATATTTTAAAGCTACTTTACAGAAATGCATAGCATCAGCCATATCCCAGTACAGACATTATGATAAACTACGGGGCTTTTCTTTTCTTGAGACAGGCTCTCCCTCTGTGGCCCAGACTGGAGTGCAATGGTGCGATGTGGGCTCACTGCAATCTCCACCTCCCAGGGTCAAGCGATTTCCCACCTCAGCCTCCTCAGTAGCTGGGACTAAAGGCACAAGCCATCACAGGCCAGCTAATTTTTGTATTTTTAGTAGAGACTGGTTTTCACCATGTTGGTCAGGATGGTCTCAAACTCCTGACCTCAGGTGATCCGCCCACCTCGGCCTCCCACAGTGCTGGGATTGCAGGTGTTTGAGCCGCGGAACCCGGCTGGGGCTTTTCTTTTTTTGGTTGTTTTTTTCTTTTGCTTAAAGAGGTGACATCTGCCTACAATAAATCATGTTTTTTAAGAATCTGTATGCGAATAAACATTCTGAGAGTACCTAAACTTCACCTCATTTTAATTTCGCTGTGCCTTGAGATGGGATTTTATCTCTGAAAAAAACCATCAGGTTTCTTTAGGAAAGTGAAAAGATTTTGTCTACAATTCACCATGGATATCAGTCATCACAAACATCAAGATGTGAAGTAGATGCTATTAGAATTGTTAAAGAACAAGCATCAAGCATACGCTACTCACCCCCTACTCCCCTGAAAGGCACCACCTTACTTCACAGAGGTCTTTTGAGTGGCTGAGAGTAAGTGTACCGATCTAAAGGTCAGCAGACACTAAGTTCTGGCTTTACCATTTAATAACTGATTAGCCACATGATCATAAAAAAATCTCTCTCTCAAACTCACTTTCTTGAACCAGAAAATGGGAGTAACGCTCTACCTGCTTCAATCTTGTTACATAAATTAAAAACTTTTGTCAACGTGGGCTGTGAACTGAGGTACTGCATAATGTCATATACACATATGTAAAGTTTAGGCCAGAAGCAGTGACTCACACCTGTAATCCCAGCACTTTGGGAGGCCAAGGTGGGAGTCCAGGAATTCAAGACCAGCCTGGGCAACATAGAGACCTCAAATCCACAAAAAAAAAAAAAAAAAAAAAAAAACACAAAAATTAGGCCGGTGCAACAGTCCCAGCTACTAGGGAAGCTGAGGCAGGAGGGTCACTGGAACTCAGGAGGTCGAGCCTGCAGTAAGCTATAATGGCGACACTGCACTTCAGCCTGGGTCACAAAGCAAGACCCTGTTTCAAAAAAAAATTTTTTTTTAATTTAGCCTTCCCATAAATACATACACCTAATATGTGCCCATTAAAAAATTAAAAATTTAGGCCAGGTACAGTGGCTCATACCTGTAATGCTAGCCCTTTGGGAGGCTGAGGCGGGAGGATCACCTGAGGTCAGGAGTCAGAGATCAGCCTGGCAAACATGGTGAAACCCCATCTCTACTAAAAATACAAAAATTAGCCAGGTGCGATGGCGGGCGCCTGTAGTCCCAGCTACTCGGGAAGCAGAGGCAGGAGAATCGCTTGAACCCAGGGGGCAGAGGCTGCAGTGAGCCGAGATCCTACCACTACACTCCACCCTAGGTGACAGAGCAAGACTGTCTCAAAAAAATAAATAAAAATAAAACTGCAGCCTTTACTCCATGCTTGTCATTACTGTTTGTGTACACAGTGTTCTTGAAATATAAAGAAAAAATATGCCTGCAGTATCAGTCACCCTTACAGTCATCCATGAAAAAAAAAAACAATCAGGCCGGGTGTGGTGGCTCACGCCTGTAATTCCAACACTTTGGGAGGCCGAGGCAGGCAGATCACCTGAGGTCAGGAGTTCAAGACCAGCCTGGCAAACATGGTAAAACCCTGTCTCTACCAAAAACACAAAAATTGGCTGGGTGCGGTGGCTCACACCTGTAATCCCAGCAGTTTGGGAGGCTGAGGTGGGCAGATCACCTGAGATCAGGAGATAAAGACCATCCTGGCCAACATGGTGAAACCTCGTCTCTACTAAAAATACAAAAAATTAGCCGAGTGTGGTGGCACGCGCCTGTAGTCCCAGCTACTTGGGAGGCTGAGCCAGGAGAACCGCTTGAACCTGGGAGGCGGAGGTTGCAGTGAGCCAAGACCACGCCATTGCACTCCAGCCTGGGGGACAGAGCCCAGTCGTAGAAGGGATTTTTAACACTACGTTACTCAGTTCTGTCTATGCATTTAAGAAGGAGAAAAATAAACTTTACTCCAGAAAGTTAGTCCATTAACTGAAACGGCAATGGAAAATTACTGGCCTACAGTCAAAGAACTGGTAGTTAATCTAAATACTTCTAAACTTATTAACAACGTTAATTTACTACTACCTATTTTTTTCCTAACAAGACCGTAGTAAAAAGTTCATTCCACACATGCTCCCTTCCCTGTTCTTCACTAACTAGCAGAATAAGCTAGCTAGAGATGAGGATCTGGTGTTTTAAAAGGACAGCTCTCAGCGGGCTCAGTGGCTCACGCCTGTAACCCCAGCACTCTGGGAGGCCGAGGCGGGCGGATCACCTGAGGTCAGGAGTTCGAGATCAGCCTGGCCAACATGGCGAAACCCCATCTCTACTAAAAATACAAAATTAGCCTGGCATAGTGGCGGATGCCTGTAATCCCAGCTACTCTTGGAGGCTGAGGCAGGAGAATCGCTTGAACCCAGGGGATGGAGGTTGCAGTGAGCCGAGATCGCGCTATTGCACTACAGCCTGGGCGACAAGAGCAAGACTCCGTCTCAAAAAAAAGACAGCTCTTGACCAGGCGCGGTGGCTCAGGTCCTTAATGTCAGCACTTTGGGAGACTGAGGTGGGCGGATCACCTGAGGTCGGGAGTTCGAGACCAGCCTGACCAACATGGAGAAACCGTGTCTCTACTAAAAAAGAAATACAAAATTAGCATGGCATGGTGGCACATGCCTGTAGTCCCAGCTACTCGGGAGGGTGAGGCAGGAGAATCGCTTGAACCCTGGAGGCGGAGGTTGCAGTGGGCCGAGATTGTGCCACTTCAATAAAGCCTGGGAGACAGAGCGAGACTCCGTCTCAAAAGAAAAAAAAGACAGCTCTCAAGTAAATGACTCAACAGATGCATTCCTAGGGAATCCAACATGACCATCAAAACTTCATCCTACCTTCCATGAAGCCAATCTTGATAGGGAAGAGACTAGGAAAGGACAAAACCAACAACAGCCCCACAAGCCCAAATGTAGTTTATGTTACCCCTCTGCTCCCCAAAAACGGGTAAACTTTTCCCCTCTATATTCCCCGTTTTTTATTGTTGCTGTTGCCCAGGATGGAGTGCAATGGCGCAATCTCGGCTCACCGCAACCTCGGCCTCCCGGGTTCAAGTGATTCTCCTGCCTCCGCCTCCCAAGTAGCTGGGATTACAGGCACCCACCACCCCCGGCTAATTTTGTATTTTTACTACAGACGGGGTTTCTCCATGTTGGTCAGGCTGGTCTCGAACTTCTGACTTCAGGTGATCCACCCGCCTTGGCCTCCCAAAGTACTGGGATTACAGGCATGAGCCACCGCACCTGGCCTCTTTTTTTTTTTTTTGGAGACAAGAGTCTCGCTCTGTTGCCCAGGCTGTAGTGTAATGCCATAATCCTGGTTCACTACAACCTTCACCTCCCGGGTTCAAGTGATTCTTCCACCTCAACCTCCTCAGTAGCTATGCCCGGATAATTTTTTTATTTTTGTAGAGACAGGGTTTCACCATGTTGGCCAGGCTGGTCTTGAACTCCCGACCTCAGGTGATCCACCCGCCTCGACCTCCCAAGGTGCTGGGATTACAGGCGTGAGCCACCCCGCCCGGCCTTTCTTCCCCACTTTCTTGTACTATTTCATATACGGGACAGTAAGAGCTGTTTGAGAAATGCTAAGAAATAATGGACTTGCTTAATATGGTTTCAAAGGAGGTAAAAACGATTCGAATAGACTACTGGCTTGTTAAAGTGATGAGATGCTAGATTTAATCTTCAACTCCCAGCCCCAAACTTAAATATTTCCTGTGACCCAAAATTGTCATTTTCCTGAACACAGGTTAGCTCTTCCTCCCGTACTGTTAAATAATCCATATAAATTGATTCCAACGCCCCAGGATAGAATTAAATGAGGATACAAAGAAGTTTAGGCACTAATTCAACACAGCAAGCAAAATAAAATAAGCCTGCTGCAGTAACAGAGAGATAAAAGGGCAGCTGGAAACCCAGCATTTGGGTACAAGTACCCAACAAAGAAATCCTGCCAATACACTGTCTTACCTTCTTCCACCCCCGACACCTGCTAAGTTCTGTTTGGTGACCAGAACTCCGGGAAAACTTTGCCACCAGAAACAAAAAAATACCGCACTCAATAAAGGAATGGACACAGGTAGAGGACACAGGTAGAAATTCCTGGTTTCTGTCTCCTCCTCCTCCTCTCCTTTCCACTGAGTCCCTACCTTATGCCCCAAGTCACAGCAATAGCTCCTCACCTTGTAGATCCTATTTCCTTACCCCTTTAGATCCTGAAGGGGACACCTAACATTAACAACTGTAATAATGTGGCTGTATCAGAGTCCCATGTTCAATAACCAATAAGGGCTCTGGTCAGAAATCCTCACCACTCACATCAAAAATATAATTATCACTAACCTGTACTTTATTTGGAAACTACAATCACAAGCTTTCAAATCAGTTTTTTAAAGGAGCTTTCAAAAAGAAAAAGACCTTTCCTCACATCCTTTCTAGTTATCACAGCAAGTTTACTTAAAAAGCCCCAATACCCACAAAATAGAAAGCATTCAAGTACAATTTGTTTCCTCCCAAGAACACTAACAGATTAAGAGGGGAACATCTGGAGATGAGGGGGCGGAGGAGGAGACTTCCAATACAAGCACATTCATATCTCTTTGATTTTTAAACACTGAAATAAAGACAAAGCAGACCTTGAGCTGTACTTCCCCATCTTATCCCCCCCCCCAACAGGAACCTTGTTGAATACAAATAGCAATTTAAGAATTTACAAGACGAAATTTAGTTCACTATATTTCCTAAATATGAGTTCTAGAGGCCTTGTCTTATTTTCAAATCCCTGAATCTTATTTCTGATGATAAGGGGGACTAACCCTGAGGTTATTCACATGACTAAATCCGCATTTCGAGGAAAGCAAGGGCCCTAACATTTTGAAATATAGGTATTTTAATTAGGAAAAAAATCTAAGAATCAAAGATACTTGATTCCAACCATGTCTCACCCCACCCTACCACGCAAAAGCATTAAAACCACAGGACCCACAGACATGACCTTTCGTTTAATACTACAGTATCGCACAATTATAAATGTGTGGGTATTTCAAAAGGTGGTCCAAAAGGTGGACTGGGAGAGAGGATTAAGAATAAACTTCCTGACAATGACTGGACAGACACAATGGACATTCGATGAAGTTCTGAAAAAGGACTGGAGAACCCATTAGGGGCAAAAGAACAACGAACAAAGAGGACCTACTAATATTTCTACATAAACCCATTTATTTAAAACGGAAAAAAAGAAAGCAACAGGATCTTCAACCTTCATAACTCAAAAAACCCAGCCTCAGCCGAGCGCCTGGAATAGGTTAAGATCCCCCACGAAGTACAGACCAGCATTCCGAGCCTGCAGAGTCAACCAAAATACAGTTACTGAACACTATTGGAAATAACTTTATTTCAACAGGTCTTCCCATTTGTCATCACGGTGCGCACAAACTGTAAAGTCATCGTTTTTACAAACGGGGGGACGGAGGCTCGGGCTCTACAAAGGCTCGAACTCTCAGAGTCGTGGCCTCCTGGTTCTATCCATCAGAACCCACGGGTGATGGAGCCAGAGAAAGGTTACAGGAACTTCGAGATCTCCTGTTTTAAGTCTGAGGAAAGGGAGGGAGTGAGGATTTTCTGGGCCTCCCCAGAAGACGACGAGGAGGAAAAGCCCCGAAACCCCTCACTACGAGGTGCCGGCCTACGGGAAAGAAACCCGATCGCAGCATGGGAGCCTGCCACCGCCCGAAGACGAACTGCAGTGATTCCCACTCACCCCTCTCCCCCCACCATCATCCACGACTGTCCCCCACCTCAGGCCTGAGGAAGCCCATCGCTCTCAAAGGTCCTCCTTTGTGAGACTCCACGGCCGCCGCCCCACACGGGGCCTCCGGGGAAAAGCCACCGCCCCCACCCGCCATATTTCCCTGAAAGGCGCCCGCGCTACAGCTCCCGGTCTTCGCTCTCTCCCATGTGGCGGGTGCTGCTTCCCCCGTCACCCCACCCAATTGTTCTCCACATCCCAAGGCCGTCCCAGAAGCTCCCATGAGGGTGGCTCGTTCGGAGACAGCACCCGCCATCTCCTCCCCCTCCCCCGCCCCGGGACTCGCCCTCCCCCCAGCCGCCATTTTACAACCAACTCCTCCACCCCGTCGCCCCGGCCTCCCGGCCCGCGAGTTGTTTGCAGTTAAGGACGGCGAAGGGGTCACATTCCAGGGCATAGAGCCTCCCATCGCCCCGGGAGCTCCCAGGCCATTTCCTGCTTCCCGAACCCAAGCCCCCGGGCCAGGCTCGCAGACGATGCCGCCATTTTGTCTCCTGTTCCCGGCCTCTGTGGGCGGCGGCAGAGGGTCCGAGAATTCCAGCCCCCCGTTGCCCCCCCAACTCACCGTCGTATCGCTCAGCCTGCTCGGCCAGCTTCGCCTGGTACACCAGATCCTCTCGATCATCCATAGCGGCAGCGGCTCCGGCAGGGTCTGCGCGACGGATGGAAGCGGATAGTGTCTCCGACTCTCTCAGCCTCTCGCTCCGCGTCCGGGCAGCA